>NC_000021.9:6984219-7149527 GCF_000001405.40 Homo sapiens
GATCTCTACTCTGAAAACGACAAAACATGGATAAAAAATATAAAATACAAATGAATAAATGAAAAAATATTGTGTTTATACACTGGAAGAATACTCTTGATCTATCTACCCAAAGTGATCTACAGACTTAATGTGATTTTTATCAAAGTACCAATGACATTTTTTCACAGAAATAAAAAAAATTTAAATTTATATGGATCCACAAAAAACTCTGAATAGACAAAGCAACTTTGAGCAAAATAAGCAAAGCTAAAGGCATCACTTCATCAAACTTCAAAACTTGCTATAAAGCTACAGTAACCAAAACAGCACTGTACTGGCATAAAAACAAACTCATAGACTAATGTGCCGAATAAGCCCAGAAGTTAATTTATGCACCTAAAGCCAACTGATTGTCAACAAAATTGCCAAGAACACACTTTAGAGAAAAGCTAATCTCTTTAATAAATGGTGCAGGGCCACTTAAATATTTATATGCAGAAAAATAATACTAGACCCTTGTACCTTGCCATATATGATAATCAACTAAAACTAAAGACTTAAATGTAATGCCATCAATTATGAAACTATTAGAGAAAAACATAAAAAAATGCTTTATAACATTGGATGGGGAAAGGATTATTAAAATAAGATTTCAAAACATGGGCAACAAAATCGAGAATAAGCAAACAACATTATGTCAAACTAAAATGCTTTTCCATATTAAAAAAACAACTAGAAGTTTGAAGAGACAGCTTAGGCAATGACAGAAAATGTTTTCATATACATGTGACAAAAGGCTAATATTCAGAATATATAAGAAACTTTAAAATCTCAAAATAAAATACACTTATAATCTAACTTTAAAAATGCAAAAGATCTTAATAGATGTTTGTCAAAAAGAGATACAAAAATGCTAACTGGAACATAAAAAGATGCTCTACATTACTAATCACCAAGGAAATGCAAATCCAAACCATAATGAAGTACCGCCTCATTCCCATTAGAGTGGCTATAATAAAAATAAATAAATAAATCAAGAACTAATGAGGATATAAAAAAGAGTGGATGTATACCTTGTTGGTGGAATTGTAAATTAGTATGGCCATTATAGAAAATAGTATGGAGGTTTCTGAAAGAAATTAAAAATATATCTATTATATGATCCAGCAATTTTACTTCTGGGTGTATATCCAAAAGAAAGGATATTACTGTGTCAAAAAGATATTTGCATTCCCATGTTCATTACAGAACTATTTATAATAGCTTATATATGGAATCAATTCAAATGTACAGCAACAGATAAATGGATAAGGAAAATGTACTATATATACACAGCGAAATACTATTCAGCCATAAGAAAGCATAAAATTCTGTCAGTTAAAAGAGCATGGATGAACCTTGAGCATACCATGTTAAGTAAAATAAGCCACATAGAGAAACACAAATACTTTATGATCTTATTATCTCACTCATTTGAGGAACCTGAAAAAAAGGGTTGATAGAAGCAAAGAGTACAACAGGGGTTACCAGAGACTGAAGCAGGAGGATGGGAAAAGGTTGCTTCACAGGTATTGTGTTATGATTAGATAGGGGAAATAAGTTTTTGTTTTTTATTACACAGTAGAATAATAATAATTAATGAAAAGTTATCTCATATTACAAAATAGCTAAAAGAGACCAGTTTCGGTGGCACATTCTTGCAATCCATACATTTTGGGAGACTGAGGTAGGAGAATCACTTGACGTCAGAAGTTCAAGATGAGCCTGGACAACATAGTGTGACCCTGTCTCTATGAAAAATTAAAACATTAGCCAGGCATGGTGGCAGCTTCCTGTAGTCTCAGCTAATTGGGAAACTAAGGTTAGAAGACTGTTTGAAGTTACAGTGAGCTAAGATTGCACCACTGCACACCAGTCTGGGTGTTAGAGCAAGATCCTGTCTCTAAAAAAATTTAATACTTAAAGATAAAATAAAATAGCTAGAGAAGAAGCTTTTGAATATTCTCACCACAAAAATAACAAATGCATGAGGCAACAAGTATAGAAGTACTCTGATTTTTATTGTTATACAACATATATATATAATTGTTTCCCCAAAATATGCACAATTACATGTGTCAATTTTAAAAAATGAATGAAGACTATAATGTAAAACCTATAGCTGTAAAATTCCTAGCACAATACAGAAGGGTGAAGCTTCATGACAACTGGTCGTGGCAATAATTTGGGGGACGTAACATCAACGGATGAGACAACAAAAGCAAGGGAATACACATGGTACTGAATCAGTGTATGAAAAATATCCCAAACAGACAAAGCAGAACATGGAATAGATATATGCACATTGTAGTATTAGTCACAAACATGTTACCTGGAAGCAAATGTACCCTTAAGGATGAGTAGATTCAGCAAACAGGGCACGTACAATCACTGGGATAGCATTCAGCCTTAAAAATAAGGAAATCTTGAAAAGTACTACAATAAGGACAAATATTCAAAACATTCTGTTAAGTAAAATAAGACAGTCAAAAAGGAAAGCTGTATAATTACACTCATGTAAAATATTTAGTCAAACTCAAAGAAACCAAGTGTCATAGTCTCAGCAGTGCACCAAGATGTAACAGTCTCTCGTAGTCTGAGATAACATCCAGAGTTCTTTGTTCTACCTCTAAGGAGATTAAGGAGTGTAAACACAAAGGTGAGGTTGGAGTGAAAGTTTAAGAAGCAAGAGAAGAAAGCTCTTTGCCAGCAGAGATAGGTGTCTGAAAGTGGTGCCCTCTACGAGGCTGGGTCCAGGGTTTTTATGGACTGGGAAGGGAAGGATATGTGCCTAGTTCACAGGCTGTCTTGAAAAACGTGTGGCTCAGCTTGGCCCAGGCCTTTGGCCCAGGACCAATCAGGAGCTGAAGGGATGATTGATAGATGCTGCTTAGCTTGGCCCAAGACTTACCAGAAGCTAAGGTGAAAGTTTGGCCAAGGAGCTTGGCACGGGAGCAATCAGGGGCTGAAGTAATTATTCATAGAGGTCAGACTTACAGTCCAAATAAAGGAGAATGTCTACCGGAATGTACCAGATTCCACAGTGTCCATGCCAACAAAAAGAGAAGGAACATTTTCCTGGGAGCCCACTGACTGTACAAAGACAAAGGTGTTTCTTTTTTTTTTCTTTTTCTTGTCTTTCTTTCTTTTTTTTGAGATGTACTTTCTTTTTTTATTTTATTTTATTTTTTTTGCAGTTTTGCTCTTGTTGCCCAGCCTGGAGTGCAATGGTGCGATCTCGGCTCACAGCAACCTCCACCTCCTGGGTTCTAGCGATTCTCCTGCCTCAGCCTCCCAAGTAGCTGGGATTATAGGCATGCAGCACCATGCCTGGCTAGTTTTGTATTTTTAGTAAAGACAGGGTTTGTCCATCTTGGTCATGCTGGTCTCAAACTCCCGACCTCAGATGATCCGCCCACAGCTGCCTCCGACATTGTTGGAATTACAGGCATGATCCACCGTGGCTGGCCAAACAAAGGCATTTCTGTGCTAGGTCGTTCTTGTTCCTTTATCTGAGTGAGCTGGAGGTTTGTACAAGTTTTTATCCAAATGGGCCAGAGGTTTTTCTATCTCTGCAGCCACGGGCATGTCTCCAAGCACAACAACATATGTTAGTTCCCTTGTTAGTGTCTGCAGCTTGATTTTTTCCAGGCTTCTTTACATGTTATGCAGGGATGAGGCACTGACCAGGGACTTTCCAGGGACTCTTCTCTTGCTATCTACCTAAGGTAAGCTAACTAACTTCTTTCACAAGTAATGAGTATTCACTTTTACTTTTGTAAGACAAAAATTATCTAAAAGCTACTGCAAAACAATAGAACTATACTAACCACTTCTAAACCATATACTTAAAATTTCAGAAATGACAATGGCATGTTTTTAACTACAATTAGAAATTTAAGACTAACTAAAAGGCACAGTTAGAAAACCTTTCAAACATCACCTTCAAATAACAAAGGGTTATTCTCACACAATTATATGGATTTAAACTATATGTTGATTGTAAATTTAAGATTATTTCCCTGATGACTCACCAAGATAGAATAAAATAATCACTGGAAACCAAGAAAAGAGGGAAATTTATAGCACTAATGTCCACATCAAAAAGCTAGAAAGGGCTGGGCGTGGTGGCTCATGCCTGTAATTCCAGCACTTTGGGAGGCTGGGGTAGGCAAATCACTTAAGGCCAGATGTTCAAGACCAGCCTGGAACACACAGCAAAACCCCACCTCTACAAAAAAAAATTCAAAAATTAGCTGGTTTTTGTGATGCACATCTGTAATCCCAGCTACTCAGGAAGCTGAGACAGCAGAAATCACTTAAAACTGAGAAGTGGAGGTTGCAGTGAGCAGAGATCATGCCACTGTACTCCAGCCTGGGTGACAGAGTGAGACTCTGCCACAAGAAAAAAAAGAGAAACTAGAAAGATCTAAAGTTAACAGCCTAACATCTTGATTAAAAGAACTAGAAAACCAAGTGAAAACTAACCAGAAAGGTAGCAGAAAACAAGAAATAACCAAGATCAAAGTAGAGCTGAAGGAGATAGAGACACTGAAAACTCTTCCAAAAAAAAAAAGTCAACAAATCCAGGAGCTGTTTTATGAAAAAAATTAATAAACTAGATGGAACACTAGCTAGGCAAATAAATAAGAAAAGAAAGGAGAACCAAACACAATTAGAAATAATAAGGGAGATATCATCACTGGTCCCATGGAAATAAGAACAACCATCAGAGAACACTATAAACATCTGTATGCACATAAACCAGAAAATCTAGAATAGACAATTTCCTTGCAAAATAAACCCTCCACAAGACTGAACCCTGAATAGATCAATAATGTGTTCTGAAACTGAGGCAGTAATAACTAGCCTACCAAGCAAGCTGAATTTGACCAGAGGTACAAAGAGGAGATGGTACCTTTTCTCCTAAAACCATCCAAAAAAAATTGAAGACAAAGTTCTCTGTAACTCATTCTATCAGGCCAGCATCATCCAGATACCAAAACCTAACATAGATACTACAACAACAACAACAACAACAACAACACATCATGCCAATGTCTTTGGTAAACACTGTGCAAAAATCCTCAATAAAATACTGGCAAACCAAATCCAGCAGCATATTAAAAAGTTCATCTGCAACAATGGAGTTGGCTTTGTCCCCAGGATGCAAGGTTGATTCAACAAATGCAAATCAATAAATGTGACTCATCACATAAAGAGAACTAAATAAAAAGCCACATGATTATCTCAATAAATGCAGAAAAAGCATCCAATAAAATTCAGCATTCCTTCAGGTTTAAAATTCTCAATAAACTAGGAAGTGAAGAAACATACCTGAAAATAATAAGAGCCATATACAACAAACCCACAACCAATATCATACTGAATGTGCAAAAGCTAGAAACGTTCCACCTGAAAACTGGCACAAGAAAAGAATGCCCTCTTTCACCACTACCATTCAATATAGTATCAGAAGCCTTGGCCAGGAAAATCAGGCCAGAGGAAGAAATAAAGAGTATTCTAATAGAAAGAGAGGAAGTCAAATTATCTTTGTTTGCAGATGACCTGATCCTACATCTAGAAAACCTCATTGTCTCAGGCCCAAAGCTTCTTAAGGTGATAAGCAACAGTAGCAAAATCTCAGGATATAAAATCAATGTGCAAAAGTAGCTAGCATTCCCATGCACAAACAACAGGCAAGCAGGGAGACAAATCATGAATGAACTTTCATTCACATTTGCTACAAAGAGAAAAAAATACCTAGGAATACAGCTAAGAAAGAAAGTGAAGGACCTCTTCAAGGAGAACCACAAACAACTGCTCAGAGAAATCAGAGTGGACACAAAACAGATGGAGAAATATTCCATGCTCATGGAGAGGAAGAATCAGTATCATGAATATGGGCATATGGCCCTAAGTAATTCATAGATTCAATGCTATTCCCATTGAACTACTGACATTCTTCAGAGAATTAGAAAAATAAAAACTTTTAAAGTTCATATGGAACCAAAAAAGAGCCCAAATAGCCAAGCCAACCTTAAGAAAAAAAAAAAAAAAGCTGGAAGTGTCACTCTACCTAACTTCAAACTATACTAGAAGAGTACAGTAACAAAAACAGCATGGTACTGGTATAGAAACAGACACATAGACAAATGAAACAAAGTAGAGAACCTAGAAATAAAGCCAAAAACCTACAACAACCTGATCTTTGACAAAGTTAACAAAAACAAGGAATTAGGGAAAGGTGTCCCTATTCAAAAAATGGTGCTAGGAGAACTGGCTAGCCATATGCAGAGAATTTAAACTGGAACCCTTCTTAACACCATGTACAAAAATTAACTCAAGATGGATTAAAGACTTAAATGTACAACCCAAAACTATAAAACCCTTAGAAGAAAAAATCTAGATAATACCATTCAGGATATAGGCATGAGAAAAGACTTTATGACAGAAAGGCAAAAAGCTATAGCAACAAAAGCAAAAATTGACTAATGGGGTCTAATTAAACTAAAGAGCTTCTGCGGAGCCAAAGAAACTATCATCAGAGCAGACAACCTAGAGAATGGGAGAAAAATTATGCAACCTATCCATCTCACAAATGTCTAATATCCAGAATCTAGGAGGAATTTAACAAAATTTACAAGAGAAAAAAAAAAGGCCCCATTAAAAAAGGGTCAAAGAACATGAACAGACATATCTCAAAAGAGGACATACATGTGCCCAACAAACATGAAAAGCTCAACATCACTGATAACTGCATAAATACAAATCAAAACCATAATGAGATACCATCTCACACAAATTATAATGGCTATTAATAAAAAGTAAAAAAAAAAAAAACAGATGCTGGCGAGGTTGTGGAGAAAAGGGAACACTTTTACACTGTTGGTGGGAGTGTAAATTATTTCAAGCATTGAGGAAGAGAGTGTGGAGATTCCTCAAAGACCTAGAAGCAGAACTACCATTTGACCCAGCAATACCATTACACCCAAAGGAATATAAATAATTCTATTTTAAAAATACATGTATACAAATGTTCATTGCAGCACTATTTACAATAGCAACATCATGTAATCAATCTACATGCCCATCAATGATACACTGGATAAAGGAAATGTGGTACACATACACCATGGAACACTATGAAGCCATAAAATGTAATGAGATGATGTCCCTTGCAGGGACATGGTTGGAATTTGAAGCCATTACTCCCAGCAAACTAATGCAGGAACAGAAAACCAAACACCGCCTATTATTATTCTAACTTATTAGCAGAAGCAGATCAATGAGAACACATGGACACATCAGGAAGAACAACACACACTGGACACCTGTTTCATGGCATGGGGGAGGGGAAGGAGAGCATCAGGAAGAATAGCTGCGGATGCTGGGCTTGGTACCTGGGTGATGAGATGATCTGTGCAGTAAACCACAGTGGTACGCATTTATGTATGTAAGAGACCTGCATACTCTGCACATGGACCCCTAAACTTAAAATAAAAGTTGAAAAATAAACTTTATCACATATGGACCCCTGAACTTAAAATAAAACTTGAAAAAAAAATGTGTTTCTGGTGGATTCTCTATGTTAGACCCAAACTGAGGATCTTGAAGCTCTCGCTGGGGGAATCGGGGATGGGGGCACACTGGGGAGCCGCTGCCAAGGCCAACCACCCTCCCTACAAGCCACCTCCCTTCCCGGCCAGTATGGAAAGGAGAAGGGGTATGTGAACAGCTGTGGAGGTCAGAATCTCGGGAACTGAATCAGGCCCCAGCCCATGCCCCCCAGCCCAGCCCTCAGGATTGTTAGATGGAACAAGGCTCCATCATCACCCAGGCATGGAGGGAAGATGCCCTGGTCCTTACCAAGCAAGGCCTGGTTTCCAAAGTCCTCTCCGAAGAGGCCTCATGTTTGCCACATCTTAAAAGTCCCCTTTCTGCTGTTCTTGCACCCAGCATGTTGGACAGTCAAGTTCCCCCGCTGAGCAATCCACACATAAGGAGGGAGTCAACACCATTGCTATGTCGGATCAGCTCCAGCGTCTCCAATATCAGTTTTATCAGATCCCAGGAACCTGCCTGCTCCCAGAGGTGACAGAGAAAAATCAAGGAAGGATCTGTATGGTCACTGACCTGGATGAAACCCTTGTGCATAGCTCCTTTAAGCCAATCAGCAATGCTGACTGCCTAGTGCCTGTAGAGCTTGAGGGGACCATGCACCAGATCCATGTGCTCATGAGGCCTTATATGGATGAGTTCCTGACATGAATGGAGGAAATGTTTAAATGTGTTTTCGTCATTGCTCTCTTCTTCCCAGCCTGAACAAGTAGGCAGATCCTGTGACGGGTGAGCTGGACGGGTATGGGATGGTCTGGGGCTGCCTGTCCCATGAGTCATGTTTGTTTCACCAGGGCTGCTATGTCAAGGACGTCAGCCATCTGGGGAGGGACCTGAGGAAAACTCATCCTGGACAACTCGCCTGCTTCTTACATCTTCCACACAGAGAATGCAGTGCCTGTGCAGTCCTGGTTTGATAACATTCCAGACAGCAGCTGCTGCACCTGATATCATTATTTGAGGAGATGAGTGGAGGAGCAGAGGGTGTCTACACTAGCCTTGGGCAGCAGTGGGCCCTTAACCTTCCCTGCTTCCCAGCAATGGCCATCACAGTAGGGGATTTTCCCACACTGTGCCTTTATGAACAGCCTGAAAGAGTGAAGGCTGGAACACCTACCCACATGGGCCTGGAAACAGTGAGAAGTGATTGAAAAGAGCTTTAGGACAGCTTAGATGCCCAGTGGGTGAATGCCAGACCAAGGATACCCAGAGCTACCTGCCATCAAGTTGTTGGGTTCCCGAGATGGGGGTGTGAGAGAAAGAAAGACAGCATGTGTGTTTTGCTATGAACTGTGGCCCCAAGTATATAGTGTTTCAGTAGAGGAGAAGCTGAAGGACAAAGACTCTTCCCAAGCTAGCTTGTCTCCTCTCCTGTCACCCTATGAGCCCCTGAGATCCATAGGGATGAAGAGTATTGAAGGCTCCGTTGCAAACCTGGTCTTTCTTCAGTGCTGCAAGGCCTATGCCAAGGAGAAAGGAAAGGTATGCCTTTGGGTGTTCCAGGCACACATCTTTCTGAAATATTTCTCCAGCCAGTTGTTGCAGACAAAAGACGACATTTCTGGGAAGATGGGGACTTATGTCCAGACGAGTACCCAAACTATCAGGTCTTCTGGCCCAAAGGCTATTTTTACTTACCTCTAGCCAAGTGCCTGGGATGGATCCTTTCTGCGTCTCACCAAGGCTCACCACTTAGCCATAGCCTCAAACCCGTGGGGAAGGAAGGTCTCCCCGCCCTGCAAGAGGACAAATAACTGATTTTTGTTCATTTGACTCTGTTTTAAAATTCTCTTTAAAAAAAAAAAAAACAAAAAAAAGAAAAAGAAAGCATATCTGAAACTTAAAAAAAAAAACAAGGAAAAAAGATGAAAAAAATGACATACTTACATAGGTGAAAAACACATAGATATATCTATAAGCAACAAACACAGCTAATTCAAATATAAATTAAATATCACATTGTCATAATGTGTACCGAGTTAAAAAATTATCATTCAACTCATGATATCAAGCTTTAAAAGCAAAAATACAATTAACTGCTCTGAGAAAACATACCCCCCCAGAAAAGAAACACAACAACACAGAACTGAAAATAAGAAGAGAGATTTTAATGCATAAAATCCTGAATACAACATAAATATACAATGAAAAATAAGCCCTTTTTGTTTTTTTTTGAGACAGTCTCACCCTGTCGCCCAGGCTGGAGTGCAGTGGTGCCATCTCGGCTCACTGCAAGCTCCGCCTACTGGGTTCACGCCATTCTCCTGCCTCAGCCTCTCGAGTAGCTGGGAATACAGGCACCCGCCACTATGCCCGGCTAATTTTTTCTATATTTAGTAGAGACTGGGTTTCACCGTGTTAGCCAGGATGGTCTTGATCTCCTGACCTCGTGATCCACCCACCTTGGCCTCCCAAAGTGCTGGGATTACAGGCATGAGCCACCGTGCCGGGCTGAAAAATAACCCTTTAGATATCTACAGCTTTAAACTGTGTGCAGTCATGAAAAGCAGACATTAGAAGTCATTGGCATTTAATAAATTGCAGTAAAATTATACAGTAAATACATTACAATCATTAATAATAGGCTTTAATGAGAAGAATTTAATAAATAATCATTAAAAAGACAGCAGAATTTTATTCTGTTCTCAATATGTTGCTGCTCTTCTTATCAAATACTATAATAAAACTATATGACTATAATATAGATTTCAGGAGCTAAAAAAAGCCTTATATTTTCAAATAAAAGAACAATATAAATTTTGCAAAATACAATGAGCATTACTGAAGTATAAAGTAAATATTTGGAATTAAAATATATGGTCATTTAGATACAGACTAAAAAAGAATAGAAATCTTAATGATTCCTTTCTGCCTACAGTGAGCTTAAAATTACAACCAAAAATTTTAATAAATATGTAGCACCTACAAGAAATTTTATTAACAGCTTACATAATGTGTAAATTTGAGCAATTTATTTTAGAACTTTTGAATCTGAAAATCACCTGCTTGACATTCATTTGAGAAAGTGAAACATAAAGGAGAGTAACATAAGCAAGACGACAGAATGGGAGGTTCTGCATCCACATCCCCCACGACATAATGCAGCTGCCACAGCAAACATAAGTGCATTCATGAAAGCCTTGGAATCCAGTTCAGAGTTTGTGACACCCAGCTGGAGGCAAAGACCAAGGAAGACATCTTTAGAGGGTAAGCACTTGACCAAGTGGCAAGCTTGCCAATCATGGTCCTCGCTTCAAAACAGAATACTGCCACATCTTACTGTAGACTTGGCTATAACTCATTTGACCTTGGTCCTGACACTGCAACAGTCTGTGGAAAACACAAGAGAATTCATACTCACCTGAGACTTAGATGACAGGCCTGCAGAACTTGGTTCTCTCTATAGTCCCTGAATCAGGCAAAACACACCTTCTTTCCTTCTCCAGCCATGGTCTGGAAGAAATCTTCACATTGATATGATGAAATGCTAACTAACAATATGAAAAATACTAAAGTATAAATGTCACTAAAATGGTAAATACATACTGAATTTCAGAATACTATAAATTGTTATCATCTTAAACTAGACTATTAAAATACAAGATGTTTTACATAAGTCTCATGATAACCAGTAGGAAAAAAAAATAGTAAAGAAAAAGAGAAAGTAATTAAAGCATACACAAACAACAAAAATTACACATTGGATATGGTGTCTCCTGCTTATAATTCCAACACTTTGGGAGGCCAAGGTGGAAGAATCAAATCTCCTTGGGTGTTGTGGTACATGTCTGCAGTCCAAGCTACTTGGGTGGCTAAGGTGGGACGATTATTTGAGCCCAGGAGGTTAAGGCTACAGTGAGCTGTGATATGCCACTGCACTTCAGTCTGAGCAAGAAAGCATAACTTTGTCTCAACAAAAATGAACAATACCACAGGAAAGACAGAACCAGAAAAAAAAGAAGCAAACTTAAAATGGACAGAAAACTACAAATGTACAATAGTAACTGCTTACCTATCACTACCTTACAAATAAAAAGATTAAAGTATCTACTAAACAGATACTGCTGTACACTGAATGTCATCTCCAAAATTTAGGATAAAATTTAATAGCCAACATGTTAGAATTAACAGGTGGAACCTTTAAAAATTAATTAAGCTATAAGCACTCTGCCCTCATGAATGGATTAACGTTCTTATTATGGGAATGGGCTAATTATAACAAGAATGGATCTGTTATATATTAAAAAAAAAAAGCTCTCTCTCCCTCACATCTTTGTGTATGTTATTATCCAGCAACTAGACCTTCAACATATACCAGTATAATGTTGTTTTGGCTTCCCAGCCTCCAGAATCATGAGTCAAATAAAATTCTATTCTTTATTAATTACCAGTGTGTGATATTCTGTTATAGCAGCCAAAAGAGACTAAAGCAGACAGAGTGGATAAATTAATCTTTTAAACCTCATAATATGCTGCTTACAAGAGACTCAATTATGAATTAAGAGCATAGGCTAAAAGTGAAAGGATAGAAAATGATATTCCATGCAAATAATAACCAAAGGAGTGAAATGGTAATGCTTAAATTAGACAAAATAGACTTTCTAGCAATGTCTCTCACAAGAATGAAATGAGTTTACCATACAATAATAGAGGTTAATTTCTCAAGAGAATATAGCTTTATATATTTATGCACCCAAAAGGGAGGCTTCTAAATATAAAAAGCAAATATTGCCAGAACTGTAGGGAGAAGTAGAAAGAAACCCAATAATAGAAAACTTTAACGAAATGTATAATAAAGGACATATAGTTAACAGCATTGTAAATTGGCAAGGGAAAGCTGGTCTCATGTGTTGCGTTTGAGAATGCAGCAAAGAAAGTGGGAACTGATAATTTTACTGCAAGCCTGAGTTAGGATGAAAAACAGGGTGGTCGATTAGAGGTTCCACTTGCCATACATTAAAAAAACACAGGAGAAAACCAGTCCTCCTCTGGAGTGTTAAAATAATTAAAGATCAGAAAATTAGTCTAAAGTGGCTCTAGTGCCCTGTGTTCATAGGTAAAAAACAAAAAACAAACAAAAAAAAATCTAAAACCTAACTCAAATATATTTCCTATAAAACACTATCTTAGCCTGAAGCAAAATGCAGGTTTAACCCATGACAAACATGCAATTAACCTCTGAATATGTAACCAGGACATTTCCATCTGGATAGTTCAAATAAGGCTACCATATAACTGGAACCAATTCTTGAATTTGGGTTGCTTTCTCATGCATCTTATGAAAGCCTTTCCTTTATGCCCCTCTGGTGGACCAGAAATCATGGCTGGGTGCTTTCCATTTCACCAATCACTCTTTGTTCAGATAAACTGATGAACCTTTTAACATAGACTCCCGTTAATTTTTAACACGAGAGACTGTGGACCCCACGGGCCGCAGCTCCTCCCACGCAAACACCCACTCGCGGTTTTTCCCTGATGACCCATCTGGCCTCCCTGAACAATTTGGGAAATACTCATGGCTGTGGGCGCAGAGCAGGGCGCTGCCCAGGGACAGGACCGGATGGGCCGGACGGGACGTGGGGGTCCTCGCTGCTGGCCCAGCGGCCATCTTGCAGCCACAGGGGACTGAGGGCCAAGCTGCGGGAGACTCGGAGCTAACCGTGGGGAGGCCGGTCCTGCCGGTTTCACAGTCTGTTCTCCCCTCTCGGGATGGCGAACCCCGTATACTCACCATTTCCCAGCTTCCAGGATGTCCTGGCACCTTAACTATGCGTCCCCAAGGACCTACAGATCGCAGGGCAACAGGGGCTGTGACAGAGTAGCCCAGGGCTCTCAAGGTGCAGGAGGCGAAAGAGGAGACAGATCCCAAGCTCCTGTGCCAGCACCAGCGAGAGACACAGATCCCGCCAAATGCAGGAAGCCACGCCCTCCTTTCCTCTCCTCTGCCACCGCGCGCCTGATTGGGCGGTTCCCACATCAGTGTCAATGACTGGATAAAACTCCAGGACGCACCCACCCTCGCCTGACTCCTGCCCTTACCCCCACTCCCCCTCAGACTTAGTGCACTTTTGTTAGTTTGTTTTTAAGTTCTGGAATACATGTGCAGAACGTGCAGGTTTGTTACATAGTTTTACATGTGCCATGGTGGTTTGCTGCACCTATCAACCTGCCATCTAGGTTTTAAGCCCCATATGCATTAGGTATTTGTCCTAATTTTCTCCCTCCCCTTGACCTCAACCCCTTAACAGGCCTTAGTGTGTGATCTTTGGCTCCAGGTGTCCATGTGTTCTCATTTTTCAACTCCCACATATGAGTGAGAACATATGGTGTTTGCTTTCCTGTTCCCGTGTTAGTTTGCTGAGGTTAATGGTTCCCAGCTTCATCCACGTCCCTGCAAAGGACATGAACTCATTCTTTTTATGGCTGCATATTATTTCATGGTGTATATGTGCCACATTTTCTTTTTCCAATCTATCAATGATGGGCATTAGGGTTGGTTCCAAGTCTTTGCTATTGCAAACAGTGGTGCAATAGACATATGAGTGCATGTGTCTTTATGCTAGAATGATTTATATTCCTTTGGGTATATACCCAGTAATGAGATTGCTGGATCAAATGGTATTTCTGGTTCTAGATCCTTGAGGAATCACCACACTGTCTTCCATAATGGTTGAACTAATTTACACTCCCTCCAGCAGTGTAAAAGTGTTTCTATTCCTCCACAGCCTCACCAGCATCTGTTGTTTCCTAACTTTTTAATAACTGCCATTCAACATGGTGTGAGAAGGTATCCCATTGTGGTTTTGATTTGCATTTCTCTAGTCTCCAGTGATGATGAGCTTTTCTCTTTTTTGTGTTTGTTGACCACATAAAGGTCCCCTTCTTCTTCTTCTTCTTCTTCTTCTTCTTCTTCTTCTTCTTCTTCTTCTTCTTCTTCTTCTTCTTTTCTTCTTCTTCTTCTTCTTCTTCTTCTTCTTCTCCTTCTCCTTCTTCTTTTTCTATTTATTTTACTTATTATTATTATTTTTAAGATGGAGTCTTGCTCTGTCACCCAGGCTGGAGTGCAGTGGAAGGATCTCGGCTCACTGCAACATCTGCCACCCAGGTTCAAGTGATTCTCCTGCCTTAGCCTCCCCAGAAGCTGGGATTACAGGTCACCCGCCAACACATCCTACTAATTTTTTGTGTTTTTAGTAGAAATGCGGTGTCGCCATGCGGCCCAGGCTGGTCTTGAACACCTGACCTCATGATCCACCTGCCTCCACGGCTGAAAGTGCTGGGATTACAGACTTGATCAACCGCGCCCAGCCAAATATCTTCTTTTGAAAAGAGTCTGTTTATATTCTGTGCCCACTTTTTGATGGTTTTTTTTTGTGTGTGTGTGAATTTGTTTAAGTTCTTTGTAGATTCTGGATATTAGACCTCTGACACATGGATAGAGTGCAAAAATTTTCTTTCACTCTGTAGGTTGCCTGGTCACTCTGGTGATAGCTTCTTTTGCTGTGCAGAAGCTCGTTAGTTTAGTTAGATCTCATTTGTCAATTTTAGCTTTTGTTGTGATTGCTTTTGGTATTTTATTCATGAAGTCTTTGCTCATGCCTATGTCCTGAATGGTATTGCCTAGGTTTTCTTCTAGGGTTTTTATGGTTTGGTGTTTTACATTTAAGACTTTAATCCATCTTAAGATAATGTTTGCATAAGGTGTAAGGAAGGGGTACAATTTCTGTTTTCTGAATGTGGCTAGCCAGTTCTTTCAGCACCATTTGGTAAGTAGGAAATCTTTCCCCATTGCTTGTTTTTGTCAGGTTTGTCGGAGATCAGATGGTTGTAGATGTGTGATGTTATTTCTGAGGCCTCTGTTCTGTTCCATTTGTCTATATATCTGTTTTGGTATCAGTACTGTGCTGTTTTGGTTACTGTAGCCTTGTAGTATAGTTTGAAGTCGGGTAGCAGGATGCCTCAAGCTTTGTTGTTTTTGCTTAGGATTGTTTTGGGTTGACAGGCAAACAGGCTCCTATATTTGGGGTCACGTGCCCAGAGTATCACAGCTAATTCAGACGTGAGCTGAGACTTGAAATGCACGTGCTCTTTCCCTTACCTGGGTCTGTTGTATAATGCATCTTAGCAGCTATGTAACAGTACGAATTAGAATATTTAGACATCTTTTTAGCAACTTTTTAACCTGCATTTTTGTAACGCGGTAAAGACCTTCATCCCATCCCTGAGCCCCTCTCTCACAACACTGCACCCCACTGCTGACCACACTGTTGTGTGACCATTAGGAATCAGGGGGGCAGCGGGGGCTGGAAATAAATAAGAAAGGATTATGTTTCCCAAATTTGCTCACCTTAGAAAGTCTCCTCAACCATTCTGTGTGAGGTGATTTTTCCAAGGTAATTGTGCCCTGACTGCGCTGGATGTCAGTGTGTCTTGTCTTTTTGAAAATCACTGGATTACTCTCATGAACGGGGTATTTCTCTTTCTATTTGAAAATGGTCAACTGTCCTCTGCAGGTGTCCTGACTTGCTAGTTTAGACCCTGAAGGTAGCGGTGAGAAAATATTTGGGCCACATCAGAATACCTATTCTCAGCTGGAGGATATATAGAAATTTCTTAATAATATCTAACCATTTTCTCAATAACCATTATATTTAACATTGATAGCTTGGAGGGCAGGGAAGGACACAGATGACACAATCTTCAAAGTTTAATTTAGTTATAAGGTTTTTTTTTTGTTCTTGCTTAGTTTTGCTTAGTTTTTGGATACAAGGTCTTGCTCTGGTGCCCAGGCTGGAGGGCAGTGGCATAATGATAACTCATAATTTGGTTGTAACGGTTCTTTAAAATATATTTTTGCTGAGAGTGCTAGCTCATACCTGTAATCTAAACACTTTGGGTGGCCAAGGTGGGATGATCGCTTGATCCCAGGAGTTCAAGACGAGTCTGAGCAACATAAGTAGGCTCAGTCTCTAGAAAAATATTTAAAAATTGTCTGGGTGTAGCTTTGCATGCCTGTAGTCCCAGCTACTTGAGAGGCTGATTTGAAAGCATCACTGGAGCCTAAGAATTTGAAGATGCAGTGACCCATGATTCAGCCACTGCATTGACAGAGTGAGATATGTGTGTGTCTGTCTGTGTGTGTGTATAAAGAATTTGTATGTGAAAAAAATTCAAGCACAGGAGAAAAGTGAAAGCCCATGGTGGGGGATGTGGAGAAAGGTCACTGTGGCTCCAGCAACTCAGTGAGACTTGGTTTTCCATCTTGAAGAATTGCCCATCCACACTGACACCATAGCCTAACATATGCCAGTTCTCACACTACACCTGCTGGGATACCAGTATGTAGCCTTTTGAAAAAAATAAAATCTTTCACCTAAGAGAAGGACAAGAGAAAACGAGGGTTTCACATCTAAAGCCTTCATTTTCTTTATGAATCAACAGCCACTTGTCATTTCAATTGTCCAGAGGCGACTGACAGCACTAATACACTTAATGAATCAACCAGGAAAAATGGGCCTCTCAGGTGAGGAGGAGGCACAATCGTCACAAAACCCAATCCGTTCTCAGCTTTGCATGGTGCTCGCATCTCAAGAAGTGGTGTTAGCCATGTGAACCGTGTTCACTGGACAAGGCCAGAGGAAAGAATATGTAGTACAACACAACTATGGGGCTGCAAATCAAACTGGTAGTGAGAGCATGCATGAGGCTTCAGTGGCCGAGACACTGGTGGCTACCCTTCGGTGTCACTTAAATCTTTGAGGTGAAGGACATCTTTTTCCCAACTGGCTCAGAGAAACTAATCAACATTAAAATTGAGATTTGTTTTTCTTTTCAAAATTTCTAAGACATAGAGGACTCTCTAACACTCCAAAAGACATTCAGCTATACATGCAGCTGAGGACCTGCCTGCTCTGTAGAGGGATGGCAGAGCAGCAGCCACCAGCTTTAGTAGCTTTAAGCTCCTCTTCTCATAGGAACAGGCCACCCCCACACAACCCCCCTAACTTCATAGGCTCTGGCTGTCAGGTGCACCTGGGGGACTGTCTTCCTCCCATCTCATTAGCTCTCGAAGACAGTTCAGCTCAATGTAAAACCTACCTTAGGATGGTGAGTTGTAGGCTCTCCTCTATTCTCCCAGCGCAGTGTGACTTCTGGAGAGTGCTTCTCCATCCTCTTACCTCAGATGATGTGAAAAGAGCCGGTTCCCGGGCAGTTAGATGTTCAGTGACATAACAGGCCCAGCATGCGCAGGGCCTGGCCCCACAACCTGGCACCTCTCCCTTACCTGGCCTTCAGGCTGGACTTTTCTCTTCTGCCACAAATGTCAGGTGATGATCACCTCTGCCACACTCTCATGAGCTTGGTAAGTATCAGGGGTGTAAACCCCAACAGATTTCCTGTGACTCTACCCTCTTACCACCCACTCAAGTGACATTATAAGCATAATTTTACATTTGATATTATTTATGCGTAATTTTTTTTATAACATTTCTGACAACAGCCCACACAACGAAATGAGTCTGGGTTACAGAACACACGGGCGAGGCTGGGGTAGCAGGCTTCAATTACTTTATTCCAATGTGAAATGAAGATTGATGATTTAAAAACAAGACAAAGTTGTTTATCAGCTGTGGGGTGGCTACACTTGCTAGCTCATGCTCACTTTCTTTGAAACAAGGTATCTGTACAGACCATACTCATAAGTAGCTCTTCACAAAACCCCAGACAGAAGTCCCAGTCAGACACAGCTCCCTCAGGCTCACAGGGCAGCAACCTCCTCCTCCATGTTAGGCTCTGACAGCAGGCAAGGGAAGAAGCACAGGCAGCAGGGGACAGGGAGATGTCCCGGACTGTAGGGATCCCCAAATGCCCCAGAGCTATTATCTGTAGAAGGGTGCACGCAGGTCTCACTCTGACAGTGCAGTGGCTGAATCATGGGTCACTGCAGCCTCAAACTCTTAGCCTCCAGTGATGCTTTCACCTCAGCCTCTCAAGTAGCTGTATGGCAAAAAGCCTCCTATTTTTTTACTTAAAACCTGGACTTCAAGCCAGGTTGGACCTGGGGATAGTGGCAGCAAAAGCAGCAGCCAAATGTATACACTCCAGATGTCTACACTCATGGGCACAGGCATATTCCACTCTTGCTGGAGCACGAGAGGCCTGAGAGGCACCTGTTTCCCAGTTGCTAACTGATGCCCACACACCCCATTCACGTGTCTTCATTTAGGTCTCTGCATCGTGTATTCCCTCAGCCAGTGCAAACACATCTTCTGGGGGGCATCATTAATTGCAGCACCTGCCCCTCTTGTTCTGGGAGGGAGTCAAGAGGAATCTGGTCAGCTCCTAATCCCCCAGGACAAAGGTGCTGCCCCCTTTTCAGCACTCACATCCAGCAATGCCATCTCTGGATGGGTTTTTCAAACACAAGTAGCATGAGGTAGCAAGCATGGTGTGACAGGCTCAGGGCCATGGGCAGCCGGTTGCTGGAGAAGCAGCACAGGGCAGGCACATCTGTGGGTGGCACCATGACAAGCCAAGGCAGCCACAGCCCCTAATCCCAACAGCTCCAGCCCAGTTGGCATTCAAATCTTCCCAGATAGTATTGGGGTACGCGATGCCCATCACTCGCCCGCTCATTAGCACGGCCTTGTTGGTTACTCAGAGACTAAGGAGAGAGAGTGGGGGATGTAGATCCAGGGTGGGCACCGCCTTGCAGCCAGAGTCCACCTGACTGCAGGCCAGCAAGCAAGCCCAAGCAGCTCAGCTCTAGTCACCTCTGGCTGTACTTTATGTGTATACTTTACACAAAGGTAGCAAACAGAGGTCAACATTAGCTGTTGTGACATGAAAGTCTATGCCTCATTAAGACCTTAAAATGCTGTTGTCTTAAGCTCTCTTTATTCCACTAAAATTTATACAAATAAACACATGCAAGCTGAAACTACTATAAAGGAAATATTAGGATTTTTTAAACCCATAAACAGACATGAAAACAGTCACTGTTTGATTGCAGAGAAAGTGAGCTTCTAAAGCAGCTGACCACAAAACAGCCTCACCAAACCCCAGGCAGGCCAGGCAGTCTGAACACTACAAGGCCACGTGATGGTCACAGAGGATGACAGCTCCCGTGAGTATTGCAAGGCACTGTGTTAGCTTCTCACTCACAGTCTCAGAATACCCTGTGAGGGGAGGCCCCGTCTCACTAGAGCACAGGAGGTTCCTGAGCTCTTCCCAGAAAATGGTCATCAAACGATGGAGCAGAGGGAAGCCCAGACAGAACAAGTGAGTCCCTAGGGTCTCCTTAACCTCCCTCAGCTCCTCCACATGGGTCCCTGAGGGAAAGTGAGCAGCCTCCTAACCCCCTTGATAGGGTTCCAGTCCTGCAGGTCGGACTCTCTCATTTTATGCTACCATAGGGGGTGACAATGCAACCCCAGGCCCCTTATTTGCCATCCCTCAATGCCAGGCCAGGCCCAGAGCCCTTTGCTAACACAGCCCAGGGGATGCTCAAGGCCCACCTCGGCACAGTCACCTGTAGTGTACTGAGATGAGCAAGGAGGTGCAAGTAGACACAAATCCCCATGGGCTTGGCCTCAGCCATGTTCCACAGGCTCAGGGCCTCGCAGATGAGCTCACAGCCCTCCTTCAGGAAGCCTGCAGATCACACCCTCAGGGAGCAGTGCTCAGATGAGCAGGCAGGCCCCACATCCCCCACCCCATGACGCTCTGTTCCACTTTGCAGGCTTCTGCATTGGCCAGTCCCCACTGCTTTCTGGTGAGATGTCCGAGTTGAAGTGAATGTTGAAGGCCACACAGCTGATGGAGCTCACTGCCTTGCACATGTTGTAAATCACCTCCTGGCTTCAAGGGTCAGCTGTGGAGACACAGCTTGATGGGAGGTAGGCCCACTCCACCATCAGTGGTGCTGGGTTGCCCTGATCTGCACCTTCCAGATACTTGCTAAGATATCTGCATGCTTCTCTAAGGGACTGGGTCACGAGACACCCCTGGCAAGGACCAGCTGGCAGAACAGGCTGGACACTCTCCCTCAGCCTCCCCAGCAGCCCCACCTGTGCTGTCATCTGTGCTGATGATCTCCGTGGTAAGATTATGGGAAACTTTTACAGCAAGTTTTCCTTTCTCACTTCCCTATCTTAATAACAGCACTGATAACTTTTAAGCCCTAGCAAGCTGAAACTGCAAGACACATGATCTTCTGCCTTAGAAGGGCCATGTTTGGGCAGTGGGTGCCCAGGTGAGAGCCCCATGGTTGTTAGTGGCAGCCGGGAGCTGGATGGGCCTGCCCCATAGCCTAGTGAAAAGTGGGACCCTCTCCTTCCAGAGCATGGAAGTCTCAGAGGCTGGAAAAAGGTGCCTAAGTGGCCTGCCAAAAAGCATAAGGCTAGAAGGCCTGGAAAGAGCCCCAACAGCCTTCAAGCTGCCTGAGAGGGCTGGGCTCATTCCAGCTTTCTTTGCTTTCATCCTGTTAGCAAGAAAACCTGCTCACAGATGGCAGGCGGGCCTGAGGCTGCCATTCCCTCATCAGGGGCTATAGGCACCTTTAATGTGGCTCTTTCTTGAAGCAGCTGCTCAGGCCGGTTCTCGAAGAGCAGTTCCCTCATTATCCACAGGTCCTTCTTCCAGCCCCGTGTCTGCAGAGGGACTAGGGAGGGAGACAAGGGCTCAGCCTGTGCCCCACAACCTGCTTTGAGACATCTCTTTTGTTACTTCCTCACAGACAGCCTGAAACTTCCAAATGAACAGACCAGAATGGAGCCTCCAGGAAAGTGTACAGAATTCTGTCTAGTACCCAGAAGGAAGGGGGTTCCCAGTGAAGGCAGGGCCAGGCTGCATGCACCTCTTCAAAAATGTTCTCCTCATAGTCCACGCTCAAGGTGTACATCCTCTGTGTGCTTGCAGTCCATGGCAGCCTCTGCCTTGGGAACAGTCCAGCTGCACACCTGCAATATGGTGGTGACCCTCTTGAATGGATGGTTCTGGGCCCCATTGCAGACAGCAGATAGGGAGATGCTCAGCCCATCAAGCCCAGAGCCCTGCCACAGGCTTCTGTGAGGCCTCCACCTGCTCTGGGTTCTTGCCCTGAGAGGCTGCCCTGAAGTCAAACAGAAGCAGGTGGGACTCTCTTCCACAGCTGCTCTCTCTCCCACTGACAGCTCCCTAGAGGGTAACTCAGACAGAGAAGATAGAATTCTCAGGCAGAAGGACAGGAGTTTCGGCTGCCGATTCATTCCATACCCCCACATGACATGACACAAGGCAGGGGCTGTGGGACAAAGGCATTGCCTTTCCTTCTGGCAAGAGGAATGCCTTAGGAAGCAGGTCTGGTGGGGCTAGGGTTGAGCGATAGGCTTCAGGCCACAAGGAGTGGATGGACACTGAGCAAGTATCCTGGTTATCTGTCCACAGATCCAGAACAAGTGGCATCCCAGGAGCCTGGGAGGGGCTGGCAGAGACTTACTGTGTCCAGCAAAAGCCCCATGTGGATGCGGTAATGCTGCCTGCTGGTCCTTGTCTGTAATTACAAACAGGTACATGAGGTCCCCATGGATCTTGCAGCTCTCAGGGAGTGGGTTCCAGCTGCTCATGTTAGGCACTTTTAGTCACTGAACGTGCTTCAGGAATGGCCAAGTTTGATTAAGCCAGGCGTCTTGCTGTGAGACCCTCCACCCAACTGAGGACCCTCTTCCTTGTCCCCCCTGACAGTTTACCTTCCAGTTCTGGTTCTGGAGACACGATGGCCCTTCTTGGGCCCCTGGGAGAATGTGCTCAGATGACACACAGTCGACAGGGCCCATTTCCAAGCCATTCTTCCATTTCCCACTGTTTGAGGGGCCGAGGCCGGTGATCAGCACAGGGCCACCCAGGGCCAGCTGTCTGCACCTAAACGTCATGTTGGTCTGGATGTCTCAGGGCCAGAACTCTCCAGGTAAGATGGCCTGGTCCTCAGCACCTGGCCTCCATGCTCCTTTTTCCTCTGTTCAATCCTGGCCCCAATGCCTCCCGCAACTCTCAGGTCACCATTGGAGAAGATGCTCAGGAAGAACAAGGAGCTGCAGTCAACCCTGCTGAAGGTGGCATATGGGTCCAGGCTCTTGAGCTGGTCTTCGACATGGTACATGTGGATGCAGGCTTTGAGCAGTGTGAGTAGCTCTTTCCGGAAGGAGGGGAAAACGGTGTTACCAGGGTCCTACACCCTAGAACGACCCATCTAGCACAGAAAACAGTTTGCAACGTGCTATTATGTGTGATTTTAATTTTGGGCTTTAGGCTTTCATTTCCAAATTCCACAATAAACACATAAGGTGGGGTTCTGATTTCAACACACACACACACACACACACACACACACACACACACACACACATTCTCTCTCTCTTCCTCTCTCTTAGAATCTTCCAGTGAATTCACACTGAAAGCCGAAGTCCTCCCAGAATCTTGTGAGAACCTAAATGATCTGAATAGTTTGTCATTGCTTTTAGGGATCTGGGAAAATCTCTGCACATTTCTGGAGACCGCTGTTATGCCATTTTTAATAAATCTGTTGTGCTTCAATTCAGAAGTGTGTGAGGGGAGTTGTGGAGGAATTGGCATTTGGGTTAGAAATTCCAGGAACAACAGAGACAGATGACACCTGTTTTCTGCTTCATAATGTCAAGTTTTATGAAGGCTAAAACCTAATTCTACAAAAAAAATTAGACTGAAAAACTTTATAGGCAAAAATTATCTTATTAAATAGGAAAATCTAATTATTTTATTTTAAAATTTTCTTTTCCTTAGTAGGACCTAATCATAGAAATTTAAACACTGTATGCCAACAGCCTCTACTGTAGGATGGTTTATTGTAAGTACTCATTTTACAGATTTCTTACAAAAACTTTTTCCGTAAGAGAAATTAGAATATTGTTCAACATATATTGAATTCACAATTATTACCTTATTTCTCACTTATTATTTTATGATTCTGTTTTCTTTAATATGAAGATTACTATGACTGTGTTTTCACTTTCTGAATTATCATGTGTCACATTTTTCTGTAATTTCAGTTTGAGAAGTTGTAAAACAGCATGCTCAAATGTATATGTTATGTATCAATTATATAATTAATTATTAAAATATTTGGCTTGTATGTTTAATTGACTCTAGGCACAATATTACTATTAGCATTTTCTTCCAGTTTTCCCAACTTTTATTTGACTAATAGTACAATTTATTTCCAGTTTTTATTTTATCTGTCAATGTTTTATACTGTATTTACAATATTTATATTGTTACCATATGTAAAAATGTAAGACCTTTCTATTAAAGGCTAGATTACAGCCTTACCCTTTTGTGTAAGGAAAGAAGCAATGCATCAGTAGCATAATTTAAAACTTTCTCTAGTATTACTTAAATTTTTATTCCTTAAAACTTTCTCATCACATCTCTTTTTAATAATTATAATATGGTTTCTTTGAAATGTTGTTGCCCTAATTGTATCCAAGTAATTCAAAATTTATACTTTTTATGGATTCAAAGGAAGAGTTGAAAATTGTAGTTACCTAGGATTCTTTTTCAGTTGGACACTATGTTTATTCAGGATTTTATAGATCAAAGTTTCTCTTAATTATGTTTTAGAATTTATGTTTCTGTATTTTTTAGAGTAGGCTGTCTCACAGCAGTTAATTGTGTTTTTACTTTCTACCTATTTATTATGATTTTGAATTACATTATTCAAGTAAGAATTCGGGGAAGGTTTCTTTTAAGTTTGTTTTGCAATTTTGCATTTCTGTGTTTCATGTTTTAGGGTAGGGCACCTTACATCAGTTTATTGTTTTTAGTTTGAATTTATATAATATAATTTTCTATGACAATATTCAAATCTGTACAGCTTAAGACAGTGTGAGGCAAAAAATATGAAGCATCCCTATGGTCTTTTGTTAATATAATGATTTAATTGTTTGTTTGCTTGTATAAATATTGCCCCTATTTTGTTTATGACTTGTGTATTTTCTTCTTGTTTGATGGACAATAATTGATTCTGTCTAAGTGAGTAATCATGGAAATTGTCTTAATTTCAACATCTATTGTTTATATTATCCTAGTGTGAAAGAAAGACTTATGCGATTTGAAGATAATTTTTCAAAAACTTTGTAACTCTCTCTCTTCAGGTGTCTTTACTTATTTATTTTTTGACAGACTCTCACCCTGTCGCCAAAGTGCAGTGGCACAATCTTGGCTCACTGCAACCTCCACCTCCCAGGTTAAAGCAATTCTCCAGCTGCTGCCTCTTGAGTAGCTGGCATTAAAAGTGTGCACTACCACGCCTGGTTAATTTTTGTGTTTTTCATAGAGCTGGGGTTTCACCATGTTGGCCAGGCTGGTCTTGAACTCATGGCCTCAAGTAATCTGCATGCCTCAGCCTCCCAGAGTGCTGAGATTACAGGCATGAGCCATCTCTCTTGGCCCTTGGGTGTCATTTTTAATTTCGATTGTGGTAAAAATACATAACATAAAATTTAGAATCTTTAATATTTTTTCTTATACAGTTCAGTCATGTTAATGTATTTACATTGCTTTGCAACATATTTGTAAAACTTTTTTCTTTTGCAAAACTGAAACTCAGGACACATGAAATGACAACTACCCATTTTCCTTACAACCTGGCTCCTGATAAAAATCATTCTATTTTCTGTTTCTAAGTTTCAATACTTTAGATATTACATATAAGTAGAATCATAGAGTATCTGTTTTATTGTGACTAATTTTACTTAGCATCATGTTCTCAAGATTTCTCTTTATTGTGGATGGTACAAGATTTTCTGCCTTTAAAAGCTGAGTAATATTCCATTACTTTTGTATTACAAATTATATTTATTTATTCATTCTATGAGGAAAGTTTGTGTTGCTTTCACCTATTGGCCTTTGTGAATAATGCTGCAATGAATATTGGTATGCAAATAGCTATTTGCTCATATGTATGAGGTTTACATGTGTGCTACCTTCTGTTTTATTGGAAAAATTGTCTGTCTTTATGCTAGAAACAAACTGTTTTCATTGCTGTTGCTTTGTAATGTGCTTTGAAATCAGAAAATTGAGGCCGCTAACATTGTTTTTTTTTAAAACATTTTTGGGCTCTTTATGGTCGCTTGACATTCCATATAATTTGTTGGTTCCTTTTTCTATTTCAAAAACATTGCTAATTTAAAAGGGATTGCATTGAATCTGTAACTCGCTTTAGGCATCATGAGCATTCTTCATAATATCAAGTCTTACAACCCTTAAACATGAGCATGCTCAAAAGTGAGTTGTTTAATTTCCATATATATGTTGCTATTTTTGTTTTCTTCTGTTATTCATTTCTAGTTTTATTCCATTTTGATCAGAAATAATAGTCACTGAAAGGCTAAACCACTCTGGGAAGTGACCCCCATTATAGAACATTACAAAGAGATGTGAGGGCACCACTTCTGCCCTGATGGGCTAGAGGGATGTGTTCTCTGAGATGACACGTTGCAGACAAATGCAGGGAACAATATAACCCCCTTTTCATGTAAACTCTTCCTTATTTTTCTAGAGTATTAGTGATAGTGGTGGCTTTGAAGTCTTGGGGAAGGTCTGGCAGTGCCGTGAACCTGCCTGCTACAGGTGATACCAGGGGGGAAAAATTAAAACCATACAAACTGTAGAAACATGAATAAATACAGCCTAGTGTAAAGTAAAAACAACACAAAGGCCTTCTCTGATATTTCTACAAGAATGTAAAAAGGGACTTTACACTTAACCAAGCTGCCTTTGGGACTAGTTAAGGCTAGATTTTTGGGAGGCACATCTTTGGGTCACTCATGGAAATCCCCTAAGAGAGAGCCCAGAGAAATTCCATATTTGGGTCTGGATCCTGGGCCCATCCTGGTTTTGTCAGACCCCTGTCTGTAGAGACCCCCATGTGCCTGCTCTCACCGTAACTCACTGTATGCCATGCTTGGGGGTGTGGTGAACCTGCCAGTTGTCCAAGGAGATGGGGGACTTGAACCCATCAAATATCTGCTCAATGATTTTAATGAAACTCTACAGAGAGTGTTCCCAGCAGTGAAGCAGGAAAAAAAAAAAAAGAAAAAAGAAAAAAAATTAATTATCTCCTTTGTTTTTACCACCAGGTGACATCTCCATTAGAAATTCTGTTTCCTAGATCAGGAACATAGGAGTATCTGCATAGACCCCCAGCCAATGAGGAAACCCGAGGACAGCTTAAGGCCTTGGGATTCACATCTGAGTAGACACACTTGGTCCACAATGCTCAACTTTTTATTCCACCAGCCATGACCTGGGTATGAACATGACATAGCCGCCAGGGTTCCAATGCCTTACAGCCTGCCCCTGTGAGAAAGAGCCCCCTCCTTTCCTGCTCCCCCTGCAACACATGGTAATGGTAGACAGGGTCGGGTTGCCCAGATTAGATGACACGGGTGGCCTGGCATGGACGGACCTGACCTGGGCTTCACTGTGTTACCTCTGTTTGCCTCTTGTTGAATGGCCAGTGGTATCAAGGATGTGGGCTGAGCCAATATGTATATGGTCAGAAAAGTCTCTCACTTTGAACCTTTCTCAGGCAACAGCTTAGGAATATAGCACACAATGAGAACACAGTACTCTCTCAAGCATCTCCCATGAAATTAGCTAGATAGAGGGCTCTCTCTAGAATGTGGGTTTCTGTTTCCCAAAGTTCTAAATTCTGTTAGGTTCTGTCACAAGGGAAGTCTGTTAACTTCTTCAAGGTTTTATCCCCTGAGCCCTTTTCCTCCATAAATCTATGCAAAGTCCCTACTGGGCTGCTGATTGCTCACCCTCATCTCCCATGTCAACTCTTTTCCTGTAAACAGTTATGCAAACACAATTATGCCTCTTACTCCCCAAAAAGATCTAAATACAGCCAGGGCCCCAGGTTTGAGAGAACAGAGTTGGATTAAAATCTTCTTTTCCTTTTCATTTCTGTGACCATATGAAAATGACTGTGTGCTTCAGTTCTCCCCAGCCCTGAAGTATGCATAATGGGATTAGGCTAGCATCAACTTCCAGAAAGAGTCATTGGCGATATATGAGATAGAATGAATCAAAATCAGTTGGATGTAGTTGCTCTTGCCTGTAATCTTAGCAGATTGGTAGACCAAGATGGGTGGAACACTTAAGGCCAGGGGTTTGAAACCAGCCATGGCCAGCATGGCAAAAACCCTTCTCCACTAAAAATGCAAAAATTAGCCAGATGTGTTGATGCTTGCCTGTAATCCCAGCCACTCAGGAGGCTGAGGTGTAAGAATCACCTGAGCCAAGGAAGCAGAGATTACATTGAGCCTTGATCATGCCTCTGCACTCCAGCCTGGGTGACATAGCGAGACTGTGTCTCAAAAAAATATATATACTATGTATATATAATTTATATTTATATATTATATATAATATATAAACTTATACATATACACCTTTATGTATAAAAGATATATATTTCATATATCTGTATACATAAAAGATATATATTTTATATATATGGCCTTATTTTTCCATTCTACAGCAGAAGAGGTTGAAATCAAAAGAAAATCAGATACTGTATTCTGGCATTAAATATTCCAGTGCTGTGCATTATATTTGGAATCACATGTATATGCTTCATCTCAGCCTATGTGGTGGGCACCCCCAACAAAGTCTCACAACAACACTAAGTTGTGAGTGACTCTGTTATTTAAAAACGCAGCTCACCGCTCAGTGCCTCAGAAGCCGGTACTATAACACCGGGTTTCCAACAAAGACATTGGATTCCAGCTGAAGCCTCTTTCCCTGTGCTTACTTAAAGGTAGTAATATTCTCAGAAAGGTTTAAGAGGTGGCTTCTTGTTTAGCAGGGAATTGCTGAAAGGAAAAATGTATGGAAAGTCACTGGGCATGAACAGCCATCTTTTCCTGCTACACACAGGTCATGTGCAAATTTGGGGACAGTTAGTACAAAACATGTGATGGAAATTTGGGCTCTTACATCAGTGAGCTTATTTCACACAGACTCCAGTTGACCATATTGGTTCCAACCAATTTTAGCCACTTTTTAGAAGTCTCATAAGTGGAATAAATTTCATTCTTTCAACAAGTTCTATCTTTTCTTATCTGTCATTCTGCAAACTGAAGAATTTCTGCTAGTCGTTGGTTGAACTCTTTGGGGACCTGGTTCTAGTTTCTGTCAAAGAGAATACAACAAATGTGATAGGTTATCACTTCTGACTTAGTTCAGGCTTCTATACCAAAAAACATAGACTAGGCAACTTATAAACAAAAGACTTTAGTTCTGGAGGCTAGAAATTTGAGATTGGCTTCCAGCATGGTTGTGGTCTGGTAAGGACTCTCTTCTGAGTTTCGAACTCCAGACTTCAGGTTGTATTCTCATTTAGCAGAGAGAAGGACAGACAGCCTTCTGCGGTTTCTTTTACAAAGCCAGTAATCTCTACCACGAGGGCCTCATGCTTAGGACTTAATTACCTCTGACCTGCTAAGGCCATTAAACTGGGGATTAATGTTCTGGAATGTGAATATGGTGGGGAATCACATAGTCTACTGCAACTTCCAAAGTTATATTTCCAAAACAGCTATTATTTTCCTCCCACTTGCTCTGTCCTGTGTTTCGTCTCTCAATCTCTCTGTCTCCCTTTCTCTTTTTCTGTGCATATGTCTGTCTATCTCTTTCATTTTCCATCTCTCTATTGTATTCTTCAAGATGAGGAAGCGATCTCCAGTGTCCTAAGATGCTCTAGGCACAGACCCACATGATAGAGAACTGAGGAACTGCCCAGGCCAATCAACAGGAAGAAACTGGTGTTCTCAGTTCACACTGAATCCTGCCAATTTCCATGAGGCAGATTGGAGGCTGATCTCTCCCCAAATCCAGCTTCAGTTGAAATCACAGCCCCAGCCTCATAGGGGACCTTGAGGCAGAGGCACCCAACTAAGCTATATCGAGATTCTGATTCACAAAAATTGTGAGATAGTATTTGTTGTCAAAATGTGCTAAAATTCAGGGCAATGTTGTCAGAGAGCGGCAAATGACTAATCTCCTCTTTCAGGCCCCAGGATACACCCTCCCCTCTTTTCCTTTCTTTCTCAGGCTGCCTACAGCCACACTTGTCCCTTTATAACCTCCTCTGCTAAACTGACTTGTGCCTCTGAGTCTTTTCACAAAGAGTGGCTTTTCCCTGACACACTTTCCACACCTGCGCAGTTGTCATTCTCGTCACAACATAATGTCACCTCAGGGAGGCATTCATGTCTCCTCCAGGCAACCTCTCCCCAGCCCTCCCTCCCAACATTCTACTTTATTTCCATTATAAAATGCTCTTTTCTTTCGCATGTACTTGCTTTAGTGTTTTTGTCCTGCCGTCCTCAGACTGTAGGCTCCCCGCGGGGATGCAGGGATAACATAATCGTTTTTGGTACCACATGGTGAACCTACCAAGGTAGCTGCCACAGGGTGAGTGCTAGGGGAAGAGTCGCTGAGTAAAATAACATGGAAAATCACAAAGTCCTTCCTGCTTTCGGTCACCCAATAATGTGGAGATCAAGAATGATAACAGGAGCTGCAGGCCCTCAGCCTGTCTCTCCCACGGCTCCAGCTACTCCAGTCAAGTCCAGCGGGCACAAGAAACACGGGGTCTGCAGCCACCTAGAGACCTCCGCTAGCACTGTAGTCCCAGGCAGAAGCATCACAAAACAGGTACCTGCACTGGGGAATTCTCAAGGCAGTGGCTCTTCAGGGACCCCTGGGAAAAGGAGCAGTATCTGAAGGCTCCAAGGGCCATAAAAGTGACCTCGGAAGCCTCCCTTGATTCCTATTTTCCTCAGCCTCTTTGAGTGTGCTGTGCACTCATTAAACATTTTAACAGCATTCGGCGACATTATTTTCTTCCACTTCCGAATGAGGACCTCAAGGACAGCCCAAAAAACTAGTATTTTTTCTGGGCCCCACACTCCAGAGCCCAGTGCATTGTCACATTGTGCTTTATTCCAAGTCCTCATCCGCCCAAGTCTCTAGGCCTCTCTCTTCTCTGAAGGACCTCTAGAAACTGAAAAGCCTCTTCCCAGAGTCTCAAAGCACAGTGATTTACCAATGAAAAGCCAAGGGCGGCAGACACCTATGAGTATCTAGAATCCTTGGTATTATTCCTTCTCAGTACCCCTATTTATGAGGGAGAAAACAAAGGCTTTCTTTCCCGTAGCCTGTCTTTATATCACACGGGGTGGTGGGTGGAGGGCATAGCTCATTTTAGTTCCAGGTGCCCACAGAAGTGGGAGTCACAACCCCAGTCCTGTCCTCTTGAAACAGCTGGGAAAGTCCCCAGGCTTGGAAGAACCCAGGGAACCTGGAGGATCCTTCATCGCATGCTGTCAGCTCCTGGTCATGTAGCTGGGGGAGTGGATGCCTCTGCCTCATGGCAAAGCTGCATCTACTGTTTCTTCCCCTTTTGTCACTTCTTTGGTTTCCTCTTCCCTAACCTCACTTTAGAATCTCCACTTTAGATCTCCAATTTAGAAGCCTGTGTGTGTGTGTGTGTGTGTGTGATGTGTTTGTGTGTGCATGCCTGCACGCCTATGTGACAACATTGAAGAGTAGAAAGCCCAGGTAGAAAGTAGAGCACAGGGTTTTCCAGGACTCATGGGCTCTCATTTCCAAAGCAAACCTGATGGGTGGGGTGCATGCAAGGCCTAGGAAGCTGGATCCCTCCCTAATACTCTGTGCTTTGCCCAATTTGTGGGATCTGGACCAGTCTTTGCCTTTTTGGGAGGTCTCAGTCTTCCTGTTGTAAAATAAAGAGTTGGCTACAAAACTGTATGAGCACATGCTCAGTGAAGACAGGGTGTCATGCTCAATACCACAGAGAATATTGGGATGGGGAAAGTTTGGGCAGACTTAGGTGTCCATGCGTGCTCAGGCCTCTGAACAGGGCCAGTGCAGGCAAACATAAAGCACAGCACAGCCAGGTTTTCTTTCCAGGGCTACAGGATGAAACAGTGCACCACAGGATCTGCTCTTGAGGTCGGTCCCGCAAGATTTTCCCACCTTCAACCAGCAACTGTTTGATGAATTTCATGTCCTGTGAAGCCCATATCCACCCCCATTACAGTGAGGGGCACAGGGCACTAGACCTGTAAAATAATGTCTTTTGCCTTTTTTTCTTTTCTTTTCTTTTTCTTTTTTTTTTTTTTAACTGAGTGGATGTTTCTTCTTTCTCTTTATCTGTTTTGTTTGTTTTTTAACTAATTTTTAAGAGGTCTTTACAGGTCAGCTGTGGTGCCTCGCACCTGTAATTTCAACACTTTGGGAGGATGAGGCAGGTGGATTATTTGAGGTCAGGAGTTCAAAACCAGCCTGGCGAACCTGGTGAAAATCCGTCTCTACTAAACTTACAAAAAAATTAGCGGGGAATGGTGGCCCAAGCCTGTAGCCCCAGCTACTCAGGAGGCTGAGACAGAAGAATTGCTGAAACTTGGGAGGCGGAGGTTGCAGTGAGCCGAGATTGCACGACTGCACTCCAGACTGGGTGACAGAGTGAGTCTCTGTAAAAAAAAAAAAAAAAAGAGAGAGAGAGAGGGAGAGAGAGAGTGCTCTTCATGGAAACATGAGCCCCTTTGTAATTTCATGTGTTGAAAATATTTATTCCAATTTTGCAATTTCTTTTCTTATTGTGGTGTTCTCTTTAAGTTTGGTTTAGATGTTATTAGTGTTTCTCCCCAAATTGATTTATTGATTTCCATTTTCACAATACAATATTTTGGCAGAAATCTTGTGGAAACTGTCTAATCAGTTTAAAAATTTAAATACATATTAAAAAATCAAAGAACTGTAAAAACTGTCCTGAAGAATGACAAAGTTTGTGAGCTTACAATGCCATATATTCAGACTTAGATTAAAGCTATAGTAATAAAAGCTATCTATGGTAGTAATGCAAAAATAGGCACAAAGAAAACTAGAAAAACTCGAGAGTCCAACTCAGACTCACACATTTAGACATTTTGTATATTACAAAACAGGCACAGAAGAGCAGTGGAGAGAAGACAGCATCTCGGTAATTAGCCTTGGGTCATCTGGTTATTTATGTGAGAAAGAAATAAACCTATCTTATATTGTTAACAAATTTCGAGACAAGTGGATTTTAAATTTTAAGGTGAAAATTGAAAACAATATTTCTAGTAGATAACATAGATAAGTATGTCCATGACTTTGGCACAGGCCAAGATTTCTTGGGACACAAAATGCATAAATTATCAAGACAAAAATATGACAAATTGGACTTTATTAGAATTAAAACCTTCTCTTCATAAAAAAAAAAGCTTCAGGAGAGCTGAAAGGCAAGAACAAAGTGGAAATCAACATTTGTCATATATTGATCTGGCAAAAGCTTTTTATCTAGATTATTAAGCTAAATCCCATCACTTAATAAACAAAGATGCATACATTGAACAAAATTGGCAAAGATATGACTAGGAGTTCCACATACAGAACCGAAGGGCCAACAAGTAGATGAACATATCCACATTCTTATGCATCAGAACAATGCATATGAAAACTACAATTGAATACCACTATGCAATCATTAACATTTTTGAAAACTGACAAAATTAAGTATTAGTGATGATGTCAAGCAACTGGAACTTTCTTATACCATTCTGTGTGCAAACTGTTATAACCACATTCAAAACCACTTGAGTAGTAACTCCTTACATACACGATGTACATAAGCACACTCTAGAACCCAGCAACTCTGCTACTAGGTATATACACCCAATAGAATTGCCAGCATATTTTCCAATGTAGTAAAGTGCTCGAAGTAGCATTATTTGGTACTTTTCCAAACTGAAAAAAACTCAAATGTGCATCAATAATAAAATAAATAACTAAAACAGCTACATATTCCTTTATAAGGGGACATTATACAGATATAAAATTAATTGGAGACATATTAAAATATACAAAAATCTAACAAATACAATTTAATTAGATTTAAAAGTCCTATCCAGAGCAATCGGCCAATAAAAAAGAAAAAGGCATACAAATAGAAAAAGAAATTGAATTCTCTTTCTCCATTTGCAATATGAGTCACTACGTAGAGAATGCTAAAGCCTCTCCAAAACTACTTTTGGGGAAAACTTGAAAAGCCTCCTGAAACGGATAAGCAAGTAAAGTTTTAGGACACAAAACCAATGTACAAAAATAAGCAGCATTTCTATGCATCAACAACTTTGAATTCCTGAACATCTTCTGGTTTTATTGCATTTTCAATTTTTTCCCTCCATTAACTATACATTTTTTCTTTTTTCAGCTAAACTAATTTATTCTTCTGTATAATTTCACCTTGTTAATAAACCCCAGGCCAAAAAGTGGGAATAAAGTATTTGTCTGCATCCTGTTTCCTCATTTTGAAAACTAGTCTAGACGAAACCTATACTTGTTCTAGGGAGTTGGCATAGACAGCATTTATTTCCGTTCTCAGCAGTGATGCCAGCCAGAAAGAGGGAGTTCCCCATTTTCACTTTGGTTAGACAGGACTCTGGATGGTTGAAGGGGAAAAGTTTCAGACTCTAAGGGAGCCAAATAGGATATTACAAAGATTTATGCATTTACTCCGGGAGCAATTATTGTGTTAAATTTTGTGCAAAACACTGCGCAAACAGCAATTAAAGTGAAAATTATTAAGGCATTACCTTTACCTTGGGAAACTCACACTAGTCAGATTCTCCGAACCCCAGAACATAACAACAACCTAGTAAAATCTTGTTCAGAGTGAAGAGAGGGTGGGAGCAGGAAGGTAAGGTTAAAAATTAGGCTGGGTGAATGAGATAATTACCCCTAGTCAAGCAGTGGAAGTATGGATGGCTTTGGGATGGGTGAAGACAAAAGAATCTCAGCAGAGGGTGCAGATAAAAAAAGGCAGAAACACAGGAGGCTTATGCAGGAAGAGGAATGAGTTTGCTGGACTGGGGAGAGTGACAGTAAAAAGCAGAGGATAATAGGCATCTCTGGTCATCTAGGGACTATAGGGTGGATTAGTTGGGGGTTACAGAATCAGTGAGGTACTTTTTAACAGTAGGATGGGTAAATAAGAGCTATAATTTGGAATAATTATGTAGCAATGGTGGTTAGGAGCAATAGAAACTCAAAGTATTACATAAATATGTTTTTTTCTTATTCTCCCACACAAGCCTTTCACCTTCCCTCTTAAACTGAGAACGGAGTGGTTTGCTATGATGTTTTTAAATTCTCACAGGCAAGCATTACTCTGTGCTGCCTTTTAATAAAGGCTAATTTTAACCAAATTAAAGAAGATTGAATGGATTTTCTTGATCATAATGGTTGAGTACAACATCTCTTACCTTCTACTAGTTTTCAGTATAACTGAAGTAACAGAATGTCAATACTCCATGGAGGGGTGTTCCTCTTGCTAAGGCTCCCTCCTCTGGGCTAGGCCTTCTACACCATGGCTGTCCTGCTGTGGCTGGAGCTGGAATTTGGATTGACCTCTGTGTGTCTTCCTAGCACACAATAGGTGTCCAATTAGCATGGGCAGAATCAAGCTCCTCCCTCTCACCATTTATTTCTCCATTTGTCCCTTGTTGGGAATGGAGAGTCCTGCCACTGAGTTCAGCCCAGGGTTGAAGTTCAAATCTCAGCTGATACTTGGTGGATGTTGACTTTTTTGAGAAGAACTTGGGAGAATAAAACATTATAAAGGCGCTGGCCAGGCACGGTGTCTCATGCCTGTATTCCTGGCATATTGATTGGCTGAGGAGATAGAATTGCTTGAGGCCAGGAATTTGATACCAGCCTTGTCAACATAGTGAGACCCCATTTATACAAAAAACTTGAAGCATTAAAAACATTTAGCCTGGTGTGATAGTTCCAAACTGTTGTCTCAGCTATGCTGGACATTGAGGCAGAGGATCACTTGAGCCAGGAGTTCTAGGCTACAGGGAGCTATGATCGTGCTGCTGCACTCCAACCAGGGCAACTATGCAAGATGTTTCAAAAATAAAATCTTTTATTATTCTTCACCCCTATAGTCTCTCCAGAACTTGTGCACTATGTAGCAGAAAGAATCAAACTCCCCAAGAGTTTGGTTCTTGCTTATGATTTGGTTTTCTGCTGCTTGGCTGCCCCCTCATTTCCCCATTTTGTATAAATAAGAACCCCCAGGTGAAGTGGAGTTTCTCCCCAGCAGAGGGTCTCACCAAGGCCCCAGGACTGGCACTTTAGGTGGAGGCTTGCCTTTCAACCTCTGAATAATAATTGATACTAAAATTGAGAAGTTTTCCAGACACCAGCTTCCTGAAAGGAGCACCCAGTCGAGACAAGATGAGGTCAGTAGCGAAGGTGACCCAGGCTGAGTGGGCCGTACATTCCTCTACTTTTCCCAAACTTCCCTCTGACATCCTACAAACTTTCTGTCTTCCCAGGACTTTCTTGCCAGGGAGTCTAATGAAGTAAAAGCTTTAAAATTGCTTTGATTTTAAAAATAATTTTATTGGTTCTTAAAATGTACTGTTAAATATTACTGTTTTTCTTCCCCCAGGGGCTACGTGAACATAAGCTCGGTTTTCACACTAGCAGCATTTAGAAATGTCTCTTCTGGAGGAACACTGATGCTCTCAATCACACGTGGTAATTCTCTCCTCCAGGCACAAAATGCAGTCTCAGCATCTCTGTATCAGGAGTCACTGTCTAAGTCTCTCCAGAGAAATAAGCTACCCAGGCCATCCAGCTGCTGGTGAGTTGCTTTGTGGTCATGAACTGGGTAGATTTCCTCATCTCATGCTCATTGGCCACATTCAGGATTAATGATTCAATGCTTTTGTTGTTCCAGAAGCTGTGGTCAGTGGCTATGCAGGAGTCAGTCTTTCAGTGCTGATCTTTGCTGAGAAAATAATAGTATTGTTCAAACAGTATATAGGATTTGCACTCAATATTTAATAATTTAGTGACAAAAATCTCTTAAATATACATTATACTGATATAAAATAAGTTACTCATCTATTATCAAATTTACTCTTTTATTTAATATAACTCTTGGGATAACATTTTCTTTTATGCTTCCATAAATATGCTTCACATGGATATATCACATATTGTGTATAATTTCACACAGTGTTAATATAGTTTCCATCTATTTAGATGTTTGCACATTTATTTTATCTCAATGTTTGTTCTCAGGAAGAGTGTTTTTCTTTATAAACTAAATTTTCAGCAAATTTTAAATGCATTTCACTGACGTAATTATACTTACATTGTATTTGTGTATTAAGTTACATTTTGTCCTTAAACCTGAAAATAACTTTTCAAATATATGTAATTTTAAATTTACATGTTTTTCCCTCAGAACTTTGAAAACCATAACCTATTGGATTCTTGATCTTATTCACATATTGAGAAATATGTTTCTTTTCATTGCTTTATAATTAATTTGAATTTTATCTTAGATAGCTTTACGTGATTTTCTCTATTATGGTATTATGCTTTTAACTATTGTTTTTCTTTTGATCAGAATGCCTTTAAGCTATTATAATTAATTATTTTAATAATTATATATTTTTATTCCCTATTTGACATTCACTCCATTTTATTTATTCGAACTTGCACTTAAACAACATGACTTATTTTAGATTTTTATGTATTTTAATTTTTCATATTGTTTATTTGTTTTATCCCTATTGGGACTTCTAAATATTCACTTCATCATATCTTCTAATTCATAATTTCTTTTTCAATTATGTAATTTTTCTATGCATTCTATCCTTTAAATTTAAAATTTTTACCTAATTATTTTGATAATATAACTTATTTTGATCTTACTTTTAAACTTTTCCTCTAATATATTTAAACATTATAACTACTTATATTATTTCTACAGTATATATACAATTTTGGGATTTTTTAAGATGTAATGGTACAGCTGTGTTTTTCTTATAATTTTGTTTCTTAATAACTTTGATCTTGATGACTTTTACTTTGTATATTTTAAAAAGAATAGTAGACTTCATTTTATTATAAATGACTGACCTCAATTGATGGGGCCATTGAAGATTCTGGGTCGAGGTATTTTATTCCAGTGAAAAGTTATCTGTAATGTTAATAATGCACCCTTTACAGACACCTGAAAATGATTAAGTCTATATATTTACCTAAATTGTCCTGAGTAAAACACATAGTGTACATATAAACCAGAAACTCATATGATGATTGGTGTTAATTTCCAAATCAACCAAAGAGGAGAAATACCACCTCCACTAACTAACCTATTTTTCTAAACTTTTGAAAATGTAAGGATTCTAGCTTTAGATAGCATAGTCAGATCCAAGTACTCCTGCATCTATGCTGCTGTGACATTATATTCACCAATCAGACACGTTAAATTCTAACAACCTGTGCTTCCATTATTAGCAATTCCCACAGGTAGCATCAACTTCCAGCCTAATTTTTATTCTACAGCTGTGCTTCTTCATTCTTTCCTGAAAAATTATTTGTGGAGGTACATGCCTTTGAAGTTTCTCAGCATATATTGTTATTTGAGGTTGAAAAGATAAGATTATCTAAATTTTTGCCAGAAACTCTCATACCCACATTATATCTTTGAAAGCATTGGTTATCACACTGCTGCTGACATGTGCATGTAGGAGAAGCATGTAAATGTCAGCGCTTTGCAGTCTCTAAGGGGCTGAAATAAACAATACCGGAAATCTTGGCCACTGAGGCTCACATGTAGATTTTCATTCCCAGTCCAGGCATCTAGATTCAGGGGCACCTTCCTGAGGGCCTTTTGGTTGAGGCCTTCTTCAGAAACTTTTGTTCAGATCCCTGTTTCTGGAGAAGAAATGGAACTTTGATAATAATTTTTATAGATTCCTATTAATATTCAATTCTCTTTAATCTTGCTCATACATTCTCCTCTACGCTCTCCTGCCCCCTTTTCCACAAAATTGCGGGCCTGTTTTTTATGAGGGTGCCACCTCGGCAGTGAGACAGTGCCCCATATTTGTGCTGATCCATCTGACCCTTTCCTGGTGCTTTTCCATGAGGAAAAAATGGAACAATGAGGAGTCGGTGCTTGATCTAATGTTGCCTGTTGTTTAACACAATCACAGAAAGGAAGACAAAAAGGCATAACTATTTCTTTGATGTGGGCCTCTTGCTTTAATTTAAAACTCTGATATTAAGCAGGTTAGCTCTTCCCAGCTCAGCTCAGCTCTTGAAATTTCATGGAAGAAATTCTGTTTTTATTGGTCTAAATTTTGTGTCTTTTATATAGAAAAAAGGTAATAAAATTGCATCTTATATTTAAAAATTGAATGCCTTCTGTTTTGCCATTTTACTGAAGAGAAAATTTGTGTAGCCTATTGGCATTATTAACAGTGAAGCTCCAAGTACTAATATTCAGAAAAAATAATGAATCAAAATCCAACTATTTCTCAGTACCATTTTCTTTTTTATAAACTTTCTATTTTATTGTCTGTAATTTAAAAACTTCTGTGGAAAAGAGTTTAAAATTTTCAAAGTTAATACAAAATTATTTTTAGAGTTTCTTTTTGCATAATGTTTGTCGTAAGTAGCTAATATTAATAAATTGTAATCATCAATTCTTATCTAAGCTGCACGTTAAAAAATATGTTAATATTTGCTGCTGCCTAAAATATAATACATATTTACATAATCTAATTTACTAAAAATAGTAATAAACACATATAAATAATCAACATACACAGGTCATTTTTTCTATTTCTTACTTATATTTTATGTTTCATATTTGTATCAGCACACTTTATGTCCTAGTATCATATATGGAAACGTGCCTATTTTGCATATTGTTATATTAAATAATAAGACATATGCTTAGCTTCCCCTAGGTTAAATTTTTTACATAATTGTTATTAACGTAAATAATCCAGAAATTAAAGTTTTTAAAAAAATTTCCAGTGCCCTCACTGTGCATAATATAATTCTATTTTTTAAAGTGTTAGTGCTGTTTGCATTATATAAAAGAATATTTTAGTGTATCAACTAACTACATACCTGAAAGCATGGCTTACTTTTTCATTAGTATATACTTTTGGTTGTACTCGGCTATTTTTCTAAAAGTGCTTGCAAATCAGTTCCAGGCCACAGGGCTTTGTCTTCAACAAAATAAGAATATCTCAGAGACCCACAGAAATAACTGTACCAAGTACTCCTATAAACAGGCTTCTGATAGAATGACTTACATAACTTTGAAACACTATCAGTGGACTAAGTTATTTCTCTAATTCTAGCAGAGAAGCATATGTGCTTACAAGATAGAGTAAAACAAGTATGAATAAAACAGGACTAAATGAACTGACAAAGAATGATAATAGGTTTTGTTTGGAATGTGAACATAAAACATTCCTGCTATTATTTCCTTGGTATCTAAACATGAGCTAATGGGAGCCGTTGTTACATGTTGTACACCCTTAAGAAGGTTTACAGTTTTTCGTCTCACCTATATTCGTAGTTGTCTTTATTTGTGGTTTAGAATCTCAGCTCTTTTCATAGCTGCCTGGCACTCATCTTGTATGAGCTCCTTTGTGTTTCTGAAGCCTCTGGCATACACCGAGGGTGTGGGTTTGCCTGGAATGTAGCATCAACCTGTAGAGAACAGGATTTTCCATGACCCAGTCATTGAATAAACTTGATATCTGCTTCTGCTGTTGAGAAAACATTATTTCTCCTTCAGGAATATCCACCCTCTTCATCAAGAACATCGTGTCATTCTTCAGGGTCACAGAATGCTCTACAGCCTACTTCCTGGTGTCCACCAAGGAGGAGATTAGTTGCATCTGAATTCAAGGAAGATTCGAGAGGGCTCACAGCTGCAGAATTCCAATCACTCTCAGTCTGACTGTGCTGATTTTAGAAAGACACATGGGGATCTGCCACAAGGAAGGCACTTTGCAGGGAGGCCTCAACCCCATGGCACACCCCTTCAGGAGGGCTCTTCTCCTTGTAACAGTCACTTAGCCACTTGTAGAAAGGCAACTCTTAGAAAATTTAAATGGGGACCAAAATACTAACCCTAACCAGTTTATTATCTCAAAGAATTGGAAAAACAAAGTTTTCGAATACTACGGGATTAGAAGAGTAAACAAGATATGCCTTTTCTTTGGAGCTACATATATGTATTAAAAATGGGATGTACAAAGAATTTTTTATCACATGGAGAAGTGCTTATGAGATGATATAACATTAAACAAATTAATGAAAGGCACACATTAAAAAGTATAACCAAACTTATACATTAGAGCTCAAAATTTAAAATGTGTAGAAAAATGATTGAGAGGAAATATGCCGAATTATAGGAATTGATGTGTTTCTTATAGGAAGCAGGATCCTGTGAGAAATTAAATTGCTTTATTGATTCTCTTGTAATTTTATAGTTTCCAAAAGTTCTACAGAGAGTGTAATGTAGGACCTTAGTCAGGAATAAACATCTCTTTAAATAAGCAGCAGAGAATTTCAAAGGAAGTGTGTGGTATGGGTTTATGTGTTTCTTTCAAGATCTAATATTTTCCACGTAGTGCTTCAGAAAAGATAAGGTAATTTCAACAACTTAACCCCATCATCAAGAGGGTGTTACTTAAGTACATTATGGGAGGTCATAGATAAACAACCAGTCAGCCTCTAAGCATCAGAAAATCTGTGATGTCCATTGGCCTGTGAGATGGTCTGCATTTCTTTGAAGGAAAAAAGCAGGTTTTAAAACACTAGAACCGAATCAAATCCAAATTTGAATAGAAAGATTAGAAAGGCTTATGCATGGGAAAAAGATTCAGGGTATTCAACGGTTAATTCTGACTATTTCTGAGTAATTTAAATTTACCTATAATTTAAAAAAAAAATTAAGGTCAGGTGTGTTGACTCAAACCTGTAATCCCAGCATTTTGGGAGGCCGAGGTGGGTGAATCACTTGAGACCAGGAGTTTGCGACCAGTATGGGCACCATGGCAAAACCTCATATCTACTAAAAACACAAAAAATAGCCAATTGGTGGTGTGTGCTTGTAGTCCCAGCTACTTGGGAGGCTGACGCATGAGAATCGCTTGAACCTAGGGGGTGGAGGTTGCAATAACCCAAGATCTCACCACTGCACTCCAGTCTGGGTGACAGAGCAAGACCTTGTTTCAAAAAAAATTTTTTTTGTATTTTAATTAGGAATCAAATAAGATAATTAAATGTAAACTTACACTTAATTTACTTTTTAAGCATTTTAAGAATTGGTATTCTAATTTTGTGTCGGTACATTTTAAGAATCAATAAAATTATTTTTAAAATCAAAGCAATTTTAAAGCTTTTACTTCATTAGACTCCCTGGCAAGAAAGCCCTGGGAAGATAGAAAGTTTGGAGGATGTCAGAGGGAAGTTTGGGAAAAGTAGAGGAATATATGGAGGGCAGAAGGAGTGAACATTAGGGAAACCCTCCCCTAGCTCAGTCTTCAGATACGCTGGTGGACTTCCCCACTCAGCCTGAGTCACCTTCGCTACTGACCTCATCTTGTCTTCTGACTGGATGCTCCTTTCAGGAAGCTGGTGTCTGGAAAACTTCTCAATTTTAGTATCAATTATTATTCAGAGGCTGAAAGGCAAGCCTCCACCTAAAGTGCCAGTCTTGGGGCCTTGGTGAGACCCTCTGCTGGGGAGAAACTCCACTTCACTGGGGGGTTCTTATTTTATACAAAATGGGGACATGACGGGGCAGCCAAGCAGCAGAAAACCAAATCATGAGCAAGAACCAAACTCTTGGGGAGTTTGATTCTTTCTGCTACATAGTGCACAAGTTCTGGAGAGACTATAGGGGTGAAGAATAATAAAAGATTTTATTTTTGAATCATCTTGCGTGGTTGCCTGTTTGGAGTGCAGTAGCGTGATCATAGTTCACCGCAGCCTAGAACTCCTGGCTCAAGTGATCCTCTGCCTCAATATCCAGCATAGCTGAGACAACAGTTTGGAACTATCACACCTGGCTAAATGTTTTTAATGCTTCAAGTTTTTTGTATAAATGGGGTCTCACTATGTTGACAAGGCTGGTATCAAATTCCTGGCCTCAAGCAATTCTATCTCCTCAGCCAATCAATATGCCAGGAATACAGGCATGAGACACCGTGCCTGGCCAGCGCCTTTATAATGTTTTATTCTCCCAAGTTCTTCTCAAAAAAGTCAACATCCACCAAGTATCAGCTGAGATTTGAACTTCAACCCTGGGCTGAACTCAGTGGCAGGACTCTCCATTCCCAACAAGGGACAAATGGAGAAATAAATGGTGAGAGGGAGGAGCTTGATTCTGCCCATGCTAATTGGACACCTATTGTGTGCTAGGAAGACACACAGAGGTCAATCCAAATTCCAGCTCCAGCCACAGCAGGACAGCCATGGTGTAGAAGGCCTAGCCCAGAGGAGGGAGCCTTAGCAAGCGGAACACCCCTCCATGGAGTATTGACACTCTGTTATTTCAGTTATACTGAAAACTAGTAGAAGGTATGAGATATTGCACTCAACCCTTATGAGCAAGAAAATCCATTCAATCTTCTTTAATTTGGTTAAAACTAACCTTTACTAAAAGGCAGCAAACAATAATGCTTGTCTGTGAGAATTTAAAAACATCATAGCAAACCACTCCGTTCTCAGTTTAAGAGGAAAGGCAAAACGCTTGTGTGGGAGAATAAGAAAAAAAATATTTATGTAATACTTTGAGTTTCTATTGCTCCTAACCACCATTGCTACATAATTATTCCAAATTATAGCTCTTATTTACCCATCCTACTGTTAAAAAGTACCTCACTGATTCTGTAACCCCCAACTAATCCACCCTATAGTCCCTAGATGACCAGAGATGCCTATTATCCTCTGCTTTTTACTGTCACTCTCCCCAGTCCAGCAAACTCATTCCTCTTCCTGCATAAGCCTCCTGTGTTTCTGCCTTTTTTTATCTGCACCCTCTGCTGAGATTCTTTTGTCTTCACCCATCCCAAAGCCATCCATACTTCCACTGCTTGACTAGGGGTAATTATCTCATTCACCCAGCCTAATTTTTAATCTTACCTTCCTGCTCCCACCCTCTCTTCACTCTGAACAAGATTTTACTAGGTTGTTGTTATGTTCTGGGGTTCGGAGAATCTGACTAGTGTGAGTTTCCCAAGGTAAAGGTAATGCCTTAATAATTTTCACTTTAATTGCTCTTTGCGCAGTGTTTTGCACAAAATTTAACACAATAATTGCTCCCAGAGTAAATGTATAAATCTTTGCAATGTCTGATTTGACTCCCTTAGAGTTTGGATCTTTTCCCCTACAACCATCCAGAGTCCTGTCTAACCAAAGTGAAAATGCGGAACTCCCTCTTTCTGGTTGGCATCACTGCTGAGAACGGAAATAAATGCTGTCTATGCCAACTCCCTAGAACAAGTATAGGTTTCATCTAGACTAGTTTTCAAAATGAGGAAACAGGATGCAGACAAATACTTTATTCCCACTTTTTGGCCTGGGGTTTATTAACAAGGTGAAATTATACAGAAGAATAAATTAGTTTAGCTGAAAAAAGAAAAAATGTATAGTTAATGGAGGGAAAAAATTGAAAATGCAATAAAACCAGAAGATGTTCAGGAATTCAAAGTTGTTGATGCATAGAAATACTACTGGTTTTTGTACATTGGTTTTGTGTCCTAAAACTTTACTTGCTTATCCATTTCAGGAGGCTTTTCAAGTTTTCTCCAAAAGGAGTTTTGGAAAGACTTTAGCATTGTCTACGTAGTGACTCATAATGCAAATGGAGAAAGAGAATTCATTTTTTTTTCTATTTGTATGCCTTTTTCTTTTCTATTGGCTGATTGCTGTGGATAGGACTTTTAAATCTAATTAAATTGTATTTGTTAGATTTTTGTATATTTTAATATGTCTCCAATTAATTTTATATCTGTATAATGTCCCCTTATAAAGGAATATGTAGCTGTTTTATTTAGTTATTTTATTACTGATGCACATTTGAGTTTTTTTCAGTTTGGAAAAGTACCAAATAATGCTGCTTAGAGCATTTGTCTGCATTGGAAAATATGCTGGCATTTCTATTGGGTGTATATACCTAGTAGCAGAGTTGCTGGGTCCTAGAGTGTGCTTATGTACATCGTGTATGTAAGGAGTTACTACTCAAGAGGTTTTGAATGCCGTTATAACAGTTTGCACACAGAATGGTATAAGAAAGTTCCAGTTGCTTGACATCATCACTAGTACTTAATTTTGTCAGTTTTCAAAAATGTGAATGATTGCATAGTGGCATTCAATTGTAGTTTTCATATGCATTGTTCTGATGCATAAGGATGTGGATATGTTCATCTACTTGTTGGCCCTTCGGTTCTGTATGTGGAACTCCTAGTCACATGTTTGTCAATTTTGTTCAATGTATTGCATCTTTGTTTATTAATTGATGGGATTTAGTTAAATAAACTAGATAAAAGGCTTTTGCCACATCAATATATGACAAATGTTGATTTCCACTTTGTTCTTGCCTTTCAGCTCTCCTGAAGGTTTTTTTTATGAAGAGAAGGTTTTAATTGTAATAAAGTCCAATTTGTCATATTTTTGTCTTGAGAATTAATGCATTTTGTGTCCCAAGAAATCTGGGCCTGTGCCAGTCATGGACATATTTATCTATGTTATCTACTAGAAATATTGCTTTCAGCTTTGACCTTAAAATTTAAAATCCACTTTTCATTGGAATTTGTTAATAATATAAGATAGGAGTGTTTTTTCTCACATAAATAACTGGTTGACTCAAGGCTATTTACCGAGAAGACTGTCTTCACTCCTCTTCTGTGCCTGTTTTGTAATATACAAAATGTCCAAATGTGTGAGTCTGAGTTGGACTCTCGAGTTTTTCTAGTTTTCTTTGTGCCTATTTTTGCATTACTACCATAGATAGCTTTTATTACTATAGCTTTAATCTAAGTCTGAATATATGTCATTTTAAGCTCACAAACTTTGTTATTCTTCAGGACAGTTTTTACATTTCTTCGATTTTTTATATGTATTTAAATTTTTTAAACTGATTAGACAGTTTCCACAAGATTTCTGCCAAAATATTGTATTGTGAAAATGGAAATCTATGAATCAATTTAGGGAGAAGTTACATAGAAACAAAGCAAAACAAAACACTAATAACATCCAAAACAAACTTAAAGAGAACACCACAATAAGAAAAGAAATTCCCAAATTGGAATAAATATTTACAACTCATGAAATTACAAATGGGCTCGCATTTCCATAAAGGGCACTCTCTCTCTCCCTCTCTCTCTCTCTTTTTTTTTTTTCCACAGAGACTCACTCTGTCACCCTGTCTTGAGTGCAGACGTGCAATCTCGGCTCACTGCAACCTCTGCCTCCCAAGTTTCAGCAATTCTTCTGTCTCAGCCTCCTGAGTAGCTGGGGCTACAGGCTTGTGCCACCATTCCCGGCTAATTTTTTGTAATTTTAGTAGAGACGGGGTTTCACCAGGTTGGCCAGGCTGGTTTTTAACTCCTGACCTCAAATGATCCGCCCGCCTCAGCCTCTCAAGTGTTGAAATTACAGATGTGAGGCACCACAGCTGACCTGTAAAGACCTCTTAAAAATTAGTTAAAAAACAAACAAAACAGAAAAAGAGAAAGAAGAAACAGCCACTCAGTTAAAAGAAAAAGATAAAGAAAAAGAAAAAGAAAAGAAAAGAAAAAAAGGCAAAAGACATTATTTTACAGGTCTAGTGCCCTGTGCCCCTCACTGTAATGGGGGTGGATATGGGCTTCACAGGACATGAAATTCATCAAACAGTTGCTGGTTGAAGGAGGGAAAATCTTGCGGGACCAGCCTCCAGAACAGAGCCTGTGGTGCACTGTTTCATCCCGTAGCCCTGGTAAGAAAACCTGGCTGTGCCGTGCTTTATGTTCACCTGCATTTGCCCTGTTCAGAGGCCTGAGCTACCGTGGACACAAAAGTCTGCTCAAACTCTCCCCATCCCAATATTCTATCTGGTATTGAGCATGACACCCTGTCTTCACTGAGCATGTGTTTATGCAGTTTTGTGACCACCTATCCATTTTACAACAGGAAGACTGAGGCCCCCAAAAAAGGCAAAGACTGGTCCATATCCCAGAAATTGGGAAGAGCACAGAGTATTAGGGAGGGATCCAGCTTCCAAGGCCTTGCATGCACCCCACCCATCAGGTTTGCTTTGGAAATGAGTGCTCTTAAGTCCTGGAAAACCCTGTGGTCTACTTTCTACCTGGGCTTTCTACCCTTCCTTATTCTCACATAGGTGTGCAGCCATGAACACACAAACACACCACACACACACACACACACACACAGGCTTCTAAGGTGGAGATCATGGAGGTGAGGTTAGAGAAGAGGAAACCAGAGAAGTGACAAAACGGGAAGAAATAGAAGAGGCAGCTTTGCCATGAGGCAGAGGCATCCACTCCCCCAGCTACATGACCAGGAGCTGACAGCATGTGATGAAGGATCCTCCAGGTTCCCTGGGTTCTTCCAGGCCTGGGGATCTTCCCAGCTGTTTCAAGAGGACAGGACAGGGGTTGTGACTCCCACCTCTATGGGCACCTGGAACTAAAATGAGCTATGCCCTCCCCCAACCACCCCATGTGATATAAAGTGAGGCTACGGGAAAGAAAACCTTCGTTTTCTCTCTCATAAATAGGGGTACTCAAAAGGAATAATACCAAGAATTCTAGATACTCATAAGTGTCTGCTCCCCTTGGCTCTTCATTGGTAACTCACTGTGCTTTGAGACTCTGGGAAGAGGCTTTTCAGGTTCTAGAGGTCCTTCAGAGAAGAGAGAGGCCTAGAGATGTGGGCAGATGAGGACTTGGAATAAAGCAGAATGTGACAATGCACTGGGCTCTGGAGTGTGGGGCCCAGAAAAAATACTAGATTTTTGGGCTGTCCTTGAGGTCCTCATTCAGAAGTGGAAGAAAATAATGTCTCTGAATGCTGTTAAAGTGTTTAATGAGTGCACAGCACACTCAAAGAGGCTGAGGAAAATAGGAATCAAGGGAGGTTTCCGAGGTTACTTTTATGGCCCTTGGAGTCTTCAGATACTGCTCCTTTTCCCAGGGGTCCTTGAATAGCCACTGCCTTGAGAATTCCCCAATGCAGGTGCCTGTTTTGTGATGCTTCCACCTGGGACTTCAGGGCTAGTGGAGGCCTCTAGGTGGCGGCAGACCCCGTGTTTCTTATGCCCGCTGGGCTTTACTGGAGCAGCTGGAGCCGGGGGAGAGACAGGCTGAGGTCCTGCAGCTCCTGTTATCATTCATGATCTCCACATTATTGGGTGGCCAAAAGTGGGAAGAAGGGCTTTGTGATTTTCCATGTTATTTTACTCAGCGACTCTTCCCCTAGCACTCACCATGTGGCAGCTACCTTGGTAGGTTCACCTTATGGTACCAAAAATGATTATGTTATCCCTGCCTCCCCGCGGGGAGCCCACAGTCTGAGGACGGCAGGACAAAAACACTAAAGCAAGTACATGTGAAAGAAAAGAGCATTTTATAATGGAAATAAAGTAGAATGTTGGGAGGGAGGGCTGGGGAGAGGTTGCCTGGAGGGGACATGAATGCCTCCCTGAGGTGACATTATGTTGTGACCAGAATGACAACAGAGAGCCAGTCCTGCGCAGGTGTGCAAAGTGTGTCAGGGAAAAGCCACTCTTTGTGAAGAGACTCACAGGCACAGGTGAGTTCAGCAGAGGAGGTTATAACGGGACAATTGTGGCGGCAGGCAGCCTGAGAAAGAAAGGAAAAGAGGGGAGGGAGGATCCTGGGGACTGAAAGAGGAGATTAGTCATTTGCCCCTCTCTGACAAAATTTCCCTGAATTTTAGCACATGTTGACAACAAATACTATCTCACAACTTTTGTGAACCAGAATCTCGATATAGCTTAGTTGGGTGCCTCTGCCTCAAGGTCTCTTACGAGGCTGGGGCTGTGATTTCAACTGAAGCTGGATTTGAGGAGAGATCAGCCTTCTATCTGCCTCATGGAAACTGGCACGATTCAGTGTGAACTGAGAGCCCGAGTTCCTTCCTCTCGATTGGCCTGGGCATCTCCTCAGTTCTCTATCATGTGGGTCTGTGCCTAGAGCATCTTAGGACACTGCAGATCACTTCCTCATCTTGAGGATTACAATACAGAGATGAAAAATGAAAGAGATAGACAGACATATGCAGAGAAAAAGAGAGAAAGGGAGACAGAGAGATTGAGAGAGGACACACAGGACAGAGCAAGTAAGAGGAAAATAATAGCTGTTTTAGAAATATAACTTTGGAAGTTGCAGAAGACTATGTGATTCCCCACCATGTTCACATACCAGAACCTTAATCCCCAGTGTAATGGCCTTAGCAGGTCAGAGGTAATTAAGTCCGAAGCATGAGGACCTCATGATAGCGATTACGGGCTTTGTAAAAGAAACCGCAGAAGGCTGTCTCTCCCTCTCTCTGCTAAATGAGAAAACAACCTGAAGTCTGGAGTTTGAAACTCAGAAGAGAGTCCTTACCAGACCCCAACCATGCTGGAAGCCCAATCTCAAATTTCTGGCCTCTAGAACTAATGTTTTTTATTTATAAGTTGCCTAGTCTATGTTTTTTGGTATAGAAGTCTGAACTAAGTCAGAAGTGATAACCTATCACATTTGTTGTTTTCCCTTTGACAGAAACTAGAACCAGGTCCCCAAAGAGTTCATCCAATGACTAACAGAAATTCTTCAGTTTGCAGAATGACAGATAAGAAAAGATACAACTTGTTGAAAGAATGAAATTTATTCCACTTATGAGACTTCTAAAAAGTGGCTAAAATTGGTCGGAACCAATATGGTCAACTGGAGTCTGTGTGAAATAAGCTCACTGATGTCAGAGCCCAAATTTCCATCACATGTTTTGTACTAACTGTCCCCAAATTTGCACATGTGATCTGTGTGTAGCAAGAAAAAATAGTTGTTCATGCCCAGTGATTTTCCATACATTTTTCCTTTAAGCAATTCCGTACTAATCCAGAACCTACCTCCTAAACCTTTCTGAGAATATTACTACCTTTAAGTAAGCACAGGGAAACAGACTTGAGCTGGAATCCCATCTCTCTGTTAGAAACCCGGTGTTATAGTACCTGCTTCTGAGGCACTGAGAGGTGAGCTGCGTTTTAAAATAACAGAGTCACTCACAACTTAGTGTTGTTGTGAGACTTTGTTGGGGGTGCCCACCACATAGGCTGAGATGAGGCATATACATATGATTCTAAATATAATGCACAGCACTGGAATATTTAATGCCAGAAGACAGTATCTGATTTTCTTTTAATTTCAACCTCTTCTGCTGTGGAATGGAAAATTAAGGCCATATATATAAAATATATATCTTTTATGTATAAAGATACATAAACTATGTATCTTTTATATATAAAGATATATATGTATAAGTTTATATATTATATATAGTTATATATAATTGATATATATATAGTTATATATAATATATAAATAAAAATATTTATATACATTATATATATATATATTTTTTGAGACACAGTCTCGCTCTGTCACCCAGGCTGGAGTGCAGTGGCAGGATCATGGCTCAATGTAATCTCTGCTTCCTGGGCTCAAGTGATTCTTACACCTCAGCCTCCTGAGTGGCTGGGATTACAGGCATGCATCAACACATCTGGCTAATTTTTGGATTTTTCGTAGAGAAGGGTTTTTGCCATGCTGGCCATGGCTGGTTTCAAACCCCTGGCCTTAAGTGTTCCAGCTGCCTTGGTCTACCAATCTGCTAAGATTACAGCAAGAGCCACTGCATCCAACCGATTTTGATTCATTCTATCTCATATATCACCAAAGACTGTTTTTGGAAGTTGATGTTAGCATAATCCCATTATGCATACTTCAGGGCTGGGGAGACCTGAAGCACACAGTCATTTTCATATGGTCACAGAAATGAAAAGGAAAAGAAGATTTTAACCCAACTCTGTTCTCTCAAACCTGGGGCCCTGGCTGCATTTAGAACTTTTTGGGAATTAAGGGACATAATTGTGTTTGCATAACTGTTTACAGGTAAAGAGTTGACATGGGAGAGGAGGGTGAGCAATCAGCAGCCCAGCAGGGACTTTGCGTAGATTTATGGAGGAAAAGGGCTCAGGGGATAAAACCTTGAAGAAGTTAACAGACTTCCCTTGTGACAAAACCTAACAGAATTTAGAACTTTGGGAACCAGAAACCCACATTCTAGAGACAGCCCTGTATCTAGCTAACTTCTTGGGAGATGCTTGAGAGGGCACTGTGTTCTCATTGTGTTATATTCCCAAGCTGTTGCCTGAGAAAGGCTCAAAGTGAGAGCCTTTTCTGACAGTATACATACTGGCTCAGCCTACATCCTTGATACCACTGGCCATTCGACAAGAGGCACCCACAGGTAACACAGTTTAGCCCAGGGCAGGTCCGTCCATGCCAGGCCACCTGTGTCATCTAATCTGGGCAACCCGACCCTGCCTACCATTACCCTGTGTTGCAAGGGGAGCAGGAAAGGAGGGGGCTTTTCCTCACAGGGGCAGGTTTTAAGACACAGGAACCCTGGTGGGTCTGTCATGTTCATACCCAGGTCACGGTTGGTGGAATAAAAAGTTGTGAGTTGCGGACCAAGTACGTCTACTCAGATGTGAATCCCAAGGCCTTAAGCTGTCCTCGGGTTTCCTCATTGGCTGGGGGTCTATGCAGATACTCCTATGTTCCTGATCTAGGAAACAGAATTTCTAATGCAGATGTCACCTGGTGGTAAAAACAAAGAAGACAATTAACTTTTTTCGCTGCTGGGAACACTCTTTGTAGAGCTGCATTAAAATCAGTGAGCAGATATTTGATGGGTTCAAGTCCCCCATCTCCTTGGACAACTGGCAGGTTCACCACACCCCCCAAGCATGGCATACAATGAGTTATGTTGAGAGCAGGCACATGGGGTTCTCTACAGAGAGGGACCTGACAAAACCAGGATGGGTCCAGGATCCAGACCCAAATATGGAATTTCTCTGCGCTTTCTCCTAGGGGATTTCCATGAGTGACCCTCAGATCTACCCCCCAAAAATCTAGCCTTAACTGGTCCCAGTGGCAACTTGGTTAAGTGTAAAGTCCCTTTTTACATTCTTGTAGAAATATCAGAGAAGGCCTTTGTGTTGTTTTTACTTTACACTAGGCTGCATTTATTCATGTTACTACAGTTTGTATAGTTTTAATTATTCCCCTCTGATATCATCTGTAGCAAGCAGGTTCATGGTACTGCCAGACTTTCTCCAAGACTTGAAAGCCACCACTATCACTAATACTCTACAAAAATAGGGAAGAGTTTACATGAAAAAGGGGTTATATTGTTTCCTACATTTGTCTGCAATGTGTCATCTAAGAGAACTCATCCCAGTAGCCCATCAGGGCAGAAGTGGTGCCCTCACATCTCTTTGTAATGTTCTATAATGGGGGTCACTTCCCAGAGTGGTTTAGCCTTTCAATGGCTATTATTTCTGATCAAAATGGAATAAAACTAGAAATGAATAACAGAAGAAAACAAAAATAGCAACATATATATGGAAATTAAACAACTCACTTTTGAGCATGCTCATGTTTAAGGGTTGTAAGACTTAATATTATGAATAATGCTTATGATGTCTAAAGCGAGTTACAGATTCAATGCAATCCCTTTTAAATTAAGAACTTTTTTTTTGAAATAGAAAAAGGAACCAACAAATTATATGGAATCTCAAGCGACCATAAAGAGCCCCAAAATGTTTAAAAAAAACAATGTTAGTGACCTCACCTTTTCTGATTTCAAAGCACATTACAAAGCAACAGCAATGAAAACAGTTTGTTTCTGGCATAAACACAGACAATTTTTCCAATAAAACAGAAGGTAGCACACATGTAAACCTCACACATATGAGCAAATAGCTATTTGCATACCAATATTCATTGCAGCATTATTCAGAAATGCCAATAGGTGAAAGCAACACAAATTTTCCTCATAGAATGAATAAATAAATAAAATTTGTAATATAAAACTAATGGAATATTACTTAGCTTTTAAAGGCAGAAAATCTTGTACCATCCACAATAAAGAGGAATCTTGAGAACATAATGCTAAGTAAAATTAGTCACAATAAAACAGATACTCTATGATTCTACTTATATGTAATATCTAAAGTATTGAAACTTAGAACCAGAAAATAGAATGATTTTTATCAGGAGCCAGGTGGTAAGGACAATGGGTAGTTGTCATTTCATGTGTACTGAGTTTTAGTTTTGCAAAAGAAAAAATTTTACAAATATGTTGCTTAACAATGTAAATACACTTAACATGACTGAACTGTATAAGAAAAAATATTAAAGATTCTAAATTTTATGTTATGTATTTTTACCACAATCGAAATTAAAAATGACACCCAAGGGCCAAGAGTGATCACTCATGCCTGTAATCGCAGCACTCTGGGAGGCTGAGGCATGCAGGTTACTTGAGGCCATAAGTTCAAGACCAGCCTGGCCAACATGGTGAAACCCCAGCTTCATGAAAAATACAAAAATTAGCCAGGCGCGGTGGTGCAGAACTTTAATGCCAGCTACTCAAGAGGCAGCAGCTGGAGAATTGCTTTAACCTGGGAGGTGGAGGTTGCAGTGATCCAAGATTGTGCCACTGCACTTTGGCAACAGGGTGAGAGTCTGTCAAAAGAAAAAAAAAAAAAAAAAAAGACACCCGAAGGGAGAGAGTTACAAAGTTTCTGAAAAATTATCTTCAAATCACATAAATCTTTCCTTCACACTAAGATAATATAAACAATAGATGTTGAAATTAAGACAATTTCCATGATTACTCACTTAGACAGAATAAATTATTGGCCATCAAATAAGAAGAAAATATAAAAGTCATAAACAAAATAGGGGCAATATTTATACAGGCAAACAAACAGTTAAATCATTGTATTAACAAAAGACATAGGGATGGTTCATATTTGACTTCTGCCCCACACTGTCTTAATGCATACAGAGTTGAATATTGTTATACAATATTATATTATACAAATTAAAACTTAAAACAATAAACTAATATAAGGTGCCCTACCCTAAAACATGAAACACAGAAATGTAAAATTGCAAAACAAAGTTAAAATAAACATTAACCCCCAAATTCTTATTTGAATAATGAAATTCAAAATCATAATAAATAGGTAGAAAGTAAAAACACAATTAACTGATGTGAGACAGCCTACTCTAAAAAATACAGAAACATAAAATTATAAAACATAATTAAGAGAAACTTTAATCCATAAAATCCTGAATAAACATAGTGTCCAAATGAAAAAGAATCCCAGGTAACTACAATTTTTAACTCTTCCTGTGAATCTATGAAAAGTATGAATTTTGAATTATTTGGATACAGTTAGGGCAACAACATTTCAGAGAAAACACATTATAATTAATACAAAGAGCTGTGATGAGAAAGTTTTAAGGAATAAGCATTTAAGTAATACTAGAGAAAGTTTTAAATTATGCTACTGATGCATTGCTGCTTTTCTTACACAAAACGATAAGGCTGTAATCTAGCTTTTAATTGAAAAGTCTTACATTTCTAAATATGGTAACAATATAAATATTGTAAATACAGTATAAAACATTGACATATAAAATAAAAATTGGAAATAAATTGTACTATTAGTCAAATAAAAGTTGGGAAAACTGGAAGAAGATGCTAATAGTAACATTGTGCCTAGAGTCAATTAAACATACAAGCCAAATATTTTAATAAATTATAAATTATATAATTTATACATAATATATACATTTGAGCATGCTATTTTACAACTTCTGAAAGGAAATTACAGACAAATGTGACACATGATAATTCAGAAAGTGAAAACACAGTCATAGTAATCTTCATATTAAAGAAGACAGAATCATAAAATACTAAGTGAGAAATAAAGTAATAATTGTGAATTCAATATATGTTGAACAATATTCTAATTTCCCTTACGGAAAAAGTTTTTGTAAGAAATCAGTAAAATGAGTACATACAATAAACCATCCTACAGTAGAGGCTGTTGGCATATAGAGTTTACATTTCTATGATTAGGTCCTACTAAGAAAAAGGAAATTTTAAAATAAAATACTTAGATTTTCCTATTTAATAAGATAATTTTTGCCTATAAAGTTTTTCAGTCTAATTTTCTTGTAGAATTAGGTTTTAGCCATCGTAAAACTTGACATTATGAAGCAGAAAACAGGTGTCATCTGTCTCTGGTGTTCCTGGAATTTCTAACCCAAATGCCAATTCCTCCACAACTCCCTTCACACACTTCTGAATTGAAGCACAACAGATTTATTAAAATTGGCATAACAGCGGTCTCCAGAAATGTGCAGAGATTTTCCCAGATCCCCAAAATCAATGACAAACTATTCAGATCATTTAGGTTCTCACAAGATTCTGGGAGGACTTTGGCTTTCAGTGTGAACGCACTGGAAGATTCTAAGAGAGAGGGAGAGAGAGAGAATGTGTGTGTGTTGAAATCAGAACCCCACCTTATGTGTTTATTGTGGAAATTGAAAATGAAAGCCTAAAGTTGAAAATTAAAATCACACATGATAGCACGTTGCAAACTGTTTTCTGTGCTAGATGGGTCGTTCTAGGGTGTAGGACCCTGGAAACACCGTTTTCCCCTCCTTCCGGAAAGAGCTACTCACACTGCTCAAAGCCTGCATCCACATGTACCATGTCGAAGACCAGCTCAAGAGCCTGGACCCATATGCCACCTTCAGCAGGGTTGACTGCAGCTTCTTGTTCTTCCTGAGCATCTTCTCCAATGGTGACCTGAGAGTTGCGGGAGGCATTGGGGCCAGGATTGAACAGAGGAAAAAGGAGCACGGAGGCCAGGTGCTGAGGACCAGGCCATCTCACCTGGAGAGTTCTGGCCCTGAGACATCCAGACCAGCATGATGTTTAGGTGCAGACAGCTGGCCCTGGGTGGCCCTGTGCTGATCACCGGCCTCAGCCCCTCAAACAGTGGGAAATGGAAGAATGGCTTGGAAATGGGCCCTGTCGACAGTGTGTCACCTGAGCACATTCTCCCAGGGGCCCAAGAGGGGCCATCGTGTCTCTAGAACCAGAACTGGAAGGTGAAACTGCCAGGGGGAACAAGGAAGAGGGTCCTCAGTTGGGTGGAGGGTCTCACAGCAAGACGCCTGGCTTAATCAAGCTTGGCCATTCCTGAAGCACGTTCAGTGACTAAAAGTGCCTACCATGAGCAGCTGGAACACACTCTCTGAGAGCTGCAAGATGCATGGGGACCTCAAGTACCTGTTTGTAATTACAGCCAAGGACCAGCAGGCAGCATTGCTGCATCCACATGGGCTTTTGCTGGAACCAGTAAGTCTCTGCCAGCCCCTCCCAGGCTCCTGGGATGCCACTTGTTCTGGGTCTGTGGACAGATAACCAGGACACTTACTCAGTGAAGCCCATCGCTCAACCCCAGCCCCACCATACCCTGTCTCCTATGCCATTCCTCATCCCAGAAGGAAAGGCAATGCCTTTGTCCCACAGCCCCTGCCTTGTGTCATCTCATGTGGGGGTATGGAATGAACCCGTCAGCCTAAACTCCAGTCCTTCTGCCTGAGGAATCTGTCCCCGCTGTCTTAGTCGCCCTCTAGGGAGCTGTCAGTGGGATAAAGAGCAGCCCTGGAAGAGAGGCCCACCTTCTTCTGTTTGACTTCAGGACAGCCTTTCAGGGCAAGAACCCAGAGCAGATGGAGGCCTCACAGAAGGCTGTGGCAGGGCTCTCGGCTTGGTGGGCTAAGCATCTCCCTCTCTGATGACTGCCATGGGGCCCACAACCACTCATTCAAGAGGGTCACCACCACATTGCAGGTGTTCAGCTGGACGGTTCCCCAGGCAGAGCCTGCCATGGACTGCATACACACAGAGGATGCACACCTTGAAGTTGGACAATGAGGAGAACATTCCTGAAGAGGTGCATGCAGCCTGGCCCTGCCCTCACTGGGAACCCCCTTCCATCTGGGTACTAGACAGAATTCTGTGCACTTTTCTGGAGGCTCCATGCTGGTCTGTTCATTTGGAAGTTTGATGCTGTCCGTGAGGAAGTAACAAAAGAGATATCTCAGAGCAGGTTGTGGGGCACAGGCTGAGAGATTTTCTCCCTCCCTAGTCCCTCTGCAGACACGGGGCTGGAACAAGAACCTGTGGATAATGAGGGAACTTCTCTTCGAGAACCGGCCTGAGCAGCTGCTTCAAGAAAGAGCCACATTAAAGTGCCTATAGCCCCTGATGAGGGAATGGTAGCCTCAGGCCCGCCTGCCATGTGTGAGCAGGTTTTCTTGCTATCAGGATGAAAGCAAAGAAAGCTGGAATGAGCCCAGCCCTCTCAGGCACCTTGAAGACTGTTGGGGTTCCTTCCAGCCCTTCTAGCCTTATGCTTTTTGGCAGGCCACTCAGGCACCTTTTTCCAGCCTCTGAGACTTCCATGCTCTGGAAGGAGAGGGTCCCACTTTTCACTAGGCTATGGGGCCAGGCCCATCCAGCTCCCGGCTTCCACTAACAACCATGGGGCTCTCACCTGGGCACACACTGCCCAAACATGGACCTTCTAAGGCAGAAGATCATGTGTCTTGCAGTTCCAGCTTTCTAGGGCTTAAAAGTTATCAGTGCTGTTATTAAGATAGGGAAGTGAGAAAGGAAAACTTGCTGTAAAAGTTTCCCATAATCTTACCACGGAGATCATCAGCACAGATGACAGCACAGGTAGGGCTGCTGGGGAGGCTGAAGGAGAGTGTCCAGCCTGTTCTGCCAGCTGGTCCTTGCCAGGGGTGTCTCGTGACCCAGTCCCTTAGAGAAGCATGCAGATATCTCAGCAAGTATCTGGAAGGTGCAGATCAGGGCAACCCAGCACTACTGATGGTGGAGTGGGCCTACCTCCCATCAAGCTGTGTCTCCACAGCTGACCCTTGTAACCAGGAGGTGTTTTACAACATGTGCAAGGCAGTGAGCTCCATCAGCTGTGTGGCATTCAACACTCACTTCAACTCGGACATCTCACCAGAAAGCAGTGGGGACTGGCCAATGCAGAAGCCTGCAAAGTGGAACAGAGCGTCATGGGGTGGGGGATGTGGGGCCTGCCTGCTCATCTGAGCACTGCTCCCTGAGGGTGTGATCTGCAGGCTTCCTGAAGGAGGGCTGTGAGCTCTTCTGCGAGGCCCTGAGCCTGTGGAACATAGCTGAGGCCAAGCCCATGGGGATTTGTGTCTACTTGCACCTCCTTGCTCATCTCAGTACACTACAGGTGACTGTGCCGAGGTGGGCCTTGAGCATCCCCTGGGCTGTGTCAGCAAATGGCTCTGGGCCTGGCCTGGCATTGAGGGATGGCAAAAAAGGAGCCTGGGGTTGCATTGTCATCCCCTATGGTAGCATAAAATGAGAGAGTCCAGACCTGCAGGACTGGAACCCTAACAAAGGGGTTAGGAGACTGCTCACTTTCCCTCAGGAACCCATGTGGAGGAGCTGAGGGAGGTTAAGGAGACCCTAGGGACTCACTTGTTCTGTCTGGGCTTCCCCCTGCTCCATCGTTTGATGACCATTTTCTGGGAAGAGCTCAGGAACCTCCTGTGCTCTAGTGAGACGGGGCCTCCCCTCACAGGGTATTCTGAGACTGTGAGTGAGAAGCTAACACAGTGCCTTGCAATACTCATGGGAGCTGTCATCCTCTGTGACCATCACGTGGCCTTGTAGTGTTCAGACTGCCTGGCCTGCCTGGGGTTTGGTGAGGCTGTTTTGTGGTCAGGTGCTTTAGAAGCTCACTTTCTCTGCAATCAAACAGTGACTGTTTTCATGTCTGTTTATGGGTTTAAAAAATCCTAATATTTCCTTTATAGTAGTTCACCTTGTATGTGTTTATTTGTATAAATTTTATTAGAGTAAAGAGAGCTTAAGACAATAGCATTTTAAGGTCTTAATGAGGCATAGACTTTCATGTCACAACAGCTAATGTTGACCTCCTTTTGCTGCCTTTGTGTAAATTACACATAAAAAGTGCAGCCAGAGGTGACTAGAGCTGAGCTGCTTGGGCTTGCTTGCTGGCCTGCAGTCAGGTGGACTCTGGCTGTGAGGCAGTGCCCACCCTGGATCTACATCCCCCACCCCCTCTCCTTAGTCCCTGAGTAACCAACAAGGCCGTGCTAATGAGAGGGCGAGTGATGGGCATCGGGCACCCCCATATTATCCGGGAAGATTTGAATGCCATCTGGGCTGGAGCTGTTGGGATTAGGGGCTGAGGCTGTCTTGGCTTGTCATGGTGCCACCCACAGATGTGCCTGCCCTGTGCTGCTTCTCCAGAAGCCGGCTGCCCATGGCCCTGAGCCTGTCACACCATGCTTGCTACCTCATGCTGCTTGTGTTTGAAAAACCCATCCCGAGATGACGCTGCTGGATGTAAGTCCTGAAAAGGGGGCATCACCTTTGTCCTGGGGGATTAGGAGCTGACCAGATTCCTCTTGACTCCCTCCCAGAACAAGTGGGGCAGGTGCTGCAATTAATGTTGCCCCCTAGAAGATGTGTTTGCACTGGCTGAGCAAATATACGATGCAGAGACCTAAATGAAGACACGTGAATGGGGTGTGTGGACATCAGTTAGTAGCTGGGAAACAGGTGCCTCTCAGGCGTCTCGTGTTCCAGCAAGTGTGGAATATGCCTGTGCCCATGAGTGTAGACATCTGAAGTGTATACATTTGGCTGCTGCTTTTGCTGCCACTATTCCCAGGCCCAACCTGGCTTAAAGTCCAGGTTTTAAGTAAAAAGTAGGAGGCTTTTTGCCATACAGCTACTTGAGAGGCTGAGGTGAAAGCATCACTGGAGCCTAAGAGATTGAGGCTGCAGTGACCCATGATTCAGCCACTGCACTGACACAGTGAGACCTGCGTGTGCCCTTCTACAGAGAATAGCTCTGGGGCATTTGGGGATCCCTACAGTCCCGGACCCTCCCTGTCCCCTGCTGCCTGTGCTCCTTTCCTTGCCTGCTGTCAGAGCCTAACATGGAGGCGGTTGCCACCCTGTGAGCCTGAGGGAGCTGTGTCTGACTGGAACTTCTGTCTGAGGTTTTGCGAAGTCTTACTTATGAATATGGTCTGTCCAGATACCTTGTTTCAAAGGAAGTGAGCATGAGCTAGCAAGTGTAGCCACCCCACAGCTGATAAACAACTTTGTCTTGTTTTTAAATCATCAATCTTCATTTCACATTGGAATAAAGTAAGTGAAACCTGCTACCCGAGCCTCGCCCGTGTGTTCTGTAACCCAGACTCATGTGGTTGTGTGGGCTGTTGTCAGAAATGTTATAAAAAGGTTATGCATAAATTAGATCAAATATAAAATTATGCTTATAATGTCACTTGAGTGGGAGGTAAGAGGGTAGAGTCACAGGAAATCTGTTGGGGTTTACACCCCTGCTACTTACCAAGCTCATGAGAGTGTGGCACTGGTGACCATCACCTGACATTGGTGACAGAAGAGAAAAGGTCGAAGTGAAGGCCAGGTAGGAGAGAGGTGCCAGGCTGTGGGGCCAGGCCCTGCGCATGCTGGGCCTGTTAGGTCACTGAACATCTAACTACCCGGGAACCAGCTCTTTTCACATCATTTGAGGTAAGACGATGGGGGAGCACTCTCCAGAAGTCACACTGCGCTGGGAGAATGGAGGAGAGTCTACATACCGCCATCTTAGGGTAGGTTTTAGATTGAGCTGAACTGTCTTGGAGAGCTAATGAGATGGGAGGAAGACAGTCCCCCAGGTGCACCTAACAGCCAGAGCCTATGAAGTTAGGGGGGTTGTGTGGGGGTGGCCTTTCCCTATAAGAGGAGGAGCTTAAAGCTCTTAAAGCTGGTGGCTGCTGCTCTGCCATCCCTCTACAGAGCAGTCAAGTCCTCAGCTGCAAGAATATCTGAATGTCTTTTGGAGTGTTAGAGTCCTCTGTGTCTTAGAAATTTTGAAAAGAAAAACAAATCTCAATATTAATGTTGATTAGTTTCTCTGAGCCAATTGGGGAAAATAAACGTCCTTCACCTCAAAGGTTTAAGTGACACCGAAGGGTAGCCACCAGTGTCTCGGCCACTGAAGCCTCATGCATGCTCTCACTACCAGTTTGATTTGCAGCCCCATAGTTGTGTTGTACTAAATATTCTTTCCTCTGGCCTTGTCCAGTGAACACGGTTCACATGGCTAACACCACTTCTTGAGATGCGAGCACCATGCAAAGCTGAGAACGGATTGGGTTTTGTGACCATTGTGCCTCCTCCTCACCTGAGAGGCCCATTTTTCCTGGTTGATTCATTAAGTGTATTGGTGCTGTCAGTCGCCTCTGGACAATTGAAATGACAAGTGGCTGTTGATTCATAAAGAAAATGAAGGCTTTAGATGTGAAACCCTCGTTTTCTCTTGTCCTTCTCTTAGGTGAAAGATTTTATTTTTTTCAAAAGGCTACATACTGGTATCCCAGCAGGTGTAGTGTGAGAACTGGCATATGTTAGGCTATGGTGTCAGTGTGGATGGGCAATTCTTCAAGATGGAAAACCAAGTCTCACTGAGTTGCTGGAGCCACACTGACCTTTCTCCACATCCCCCACCATGGGCTTTCACTTTTATCCTGTGCTTGAATTTTTTTCACATACAAATTCTTTATACACACACACAGACACACACACACATATCTCACTCTGTCAATGCAGTGGCTGAATCATGGGTCACTGCATCTTCAAATTCTTAGGCTCCAGTGATGCTTTCAAATCAGCCTCTCAAGTAGCTGGGACTACAGGCATGCAAAGCTACACCCAGACAATTTTTAAATATTTTTCTAGAGACTGAGCCTACTTATGTTGCTCAGACTCGTCTTGCACTCCTGGGATCAAACGATAATCCCACCTTGACCACCCAAAGTGTTTAGATTACAGGTGTGAGCTAGCACTCTCAGCAAAAATATATTTTAAAGAACCGTTACAACCAAATTATGAGTTATCATTATGCCACTGCCCTCCACCCTGGGCACCAGAACAAGACCTTGTATCCAAAAACTAAGCAAAACTAAACAAGAACAAAAAAAAAAAAACTTATAAATAAACTTTGAAGATTGTGTCATCTGTGTCCTTCCCTGCCCTCCAAGCTATCAATGTTAAATATAATGGTTATTGAGAAAATGGTTAGATATTATTAAGAAATTTCTATATATCTTCCAGCTGAGAATAGGTATTCTGTTGTGGCCCAAATATTTTCTCACCGCTACCTTCAGGGTCTAAACTAGCAAATCAGGACACCTGCAGAGGACAGTTGGCCGTTTTCAAATAGAAAGAGAAATACCCCCGTTCATGAGAGTAATCCAGTGATTTTCAAAAAGACAAGTCAGACTGACATGCAGCGCAGTCAGGCCACAATTACCCTGGAATAATCACTTCACACAGAATGGTTGAGGAGACTTTCTAAGATGAGCAAATTTGGGCAGCATAATCCTTGCTTATTTATTCCCAGCCCCCACTGCCCGCCTGATTCCTAATGGCTACCCTACAATGTGGTCAGCAGTGGGATGTAGCGTGGTGAGAGAGGGGCTCAGGGACGGGATGAAGGTCTTTCCTGCATTATCAAAATGCAGGTTAAAAAGTTGTTAAAAAGATGTCCAAATGTTCTAATTCCTACTGTTAAATAGCTGCTAAGATGCATTATACAACAGACCCAGGTAAGGGAAGGAGCATGTGCATTTCAAGTCTCAGCTCACTTCTTAATTAGCTGTGATACTCTGGGCAGGTGACCCCAACTATACGAGCCTGTGTGCCTGTCAACCCAAAACAATCCTAAGCAAAAACACCAAAGCTTGGGGCATCTTGCTACCCGACTTCAAACTATACTACAAGGCTGCAGTAACCAAAACAGCACAGTACTAATACCAAAACAGATATATAGACCAATGGAACAGAACAGAGGCCTCAGTAATAACATCACACATCTACAACCATCTGATCTCTAACAAACCTGACAAAAACAAGCAATGGAGAAAGATTTACTACTTACCAAATGGTGCTGAAAGAACTGGCTAGCCACATTCAGAAAACAGAAACTGGACCCCTTCTTTACATCTTATACAAACATTATCTCAAGATGGATTAAAGTCTTAAATATAAAACACCAAACCACAAAAACCCTAGAAGAAAACCTAGGCAATACCATTCAGGACATAGGCATGAGCAAAGACTTCAGGAATAAAATACCAAAAGCAATCACAACAAAAGCTAAAATTGACAAATGAGATCTAATTAAACTAACGAGCTTCTGCACAGCAAAAGAATCTATCATCAGAGTGACCAGGCAACCTACAGAATGACAGAAAATTTTTGCAATCTATCCATGTGTCAGAGGTCTAATATCCAGAATCTACAAGGAACTTAATTTCACACACACACAAAAAAAAAACATCAAAAAGTGAGTAAAGAATATGAACAGACTATTCTCAAAAGAAGACATTTGGCTGGGCGTGGTTGATCAAGCCTGTAATCCCAGCACTTTCAGCCATGGAGGCAGGTGGATCATGAGGTCAGGTGTTCAAGACTAGCCTGGGCAACATGGTGAAACCATGTCTCTACTAAAAACACAAAAAATTAGCATGGTGTTTTGGCGGGTGGCTGTGATTCCAGCTTCTTGGGAGGATAAGGCAGGAGAATCACTTGAACCTGGGTGGCAGATGTTGCAGTGAGCTGAGATCCTGCCACTGCACTCCAGCCTGGGTGACAGAGCTAGACTCCGTCTTTAAAATAATAATAAATAAAATAAATAAAAAGAAAAGGAAGAAGGAGAAGAAGAAGAGGAAGAAGAAGAAGAAGAAGAAGAAGAAGAAGAAGAAGAAGAAGAAGAAGAAGAAGAAGAAGAAGAAGAAGACATTTATGTGGTCAACAAACACACAAAAAGGAAAAAGAAAAAAGCTCATCATCACTGATGATTAGAGAAATGCAAATCAAAACCACAATGGGATACCATCTCACACCATTTGGAATGGCAGTTATTAAAATGTCAGGAACAACAGATGCTGATGAGGCTATGGAGAAATAGAAACGCTTTTACACTGCTGGGGGCGGGAGTGTAAATTACTTCAACCATTATGGAAGACAGTGTGGTGATTCCCTAAGTATCTAGAACCAGAAATACCATTTGACCCAGCAATCTCATTACTGGTTATATACCCAAAGGAATATAAATCATTCTAGCATAAAGACACATGCACTCATATATCTATTGCAGCACTGTTTACAATAACAAAGACTTGGAACCAACCTAATGCCCATCATTGATAGACTGGAAAAAGAAAATGTGGCACATATACACCATGAAATAATATTCAGCCATAAAAAGAATGAGTTCATGTCCTTTGCAGGGACGTGAATGACACTGGAAACCATTCTCTTCAGCAAACTAACACGGGAACAGGAAACAGAACACCATATGTTCTCACTCATATGTGGGAGTTGAACAATGAGAACACATGGACACCGGGAACAAAACATCACACACTGGGGCCTGTTAGGGTGTTGAGGTCAAGGGGAGGGAGAAAATTAGGACAAATACCTAATGCATATGGGGCTTAAATCCTAGACGTCAGGTTGATAGAAGCAGCAAACCACCATGGCACATGTAAACCTATGTAACAAACCTGCACGTTCTGCACATGTATTCCAGAACTTAAAGTAAAACAAACTAACAAAAATGCACTAAGGCTGAGGGGGAGTGGGGGTAGGGGCAGGAGTCAGGCGGGGGTGGGTGAGTCCTGGAGTTTTATCCAGTCATTGACACTGATGTGGGAACAGCCCAATCAGGCGCGCAGTTGGAGAGGACAGGAGAGGAGGGCGTGGCTTCTGGCGTTTGGCGGGTCTTTGTCTCTTGCTGGCGCTGGCACAGGAACTTGGGATCCGTCTCCTCTTTCGCCTCCTCCGCTTTGGGAGCCCCGGGCTACTCTTTCACAGCCCCTGTTGCCCTGTGATCTGTAGGTCCTTGGGGACGCACAGTTAAGATGACAGGACATCCTGGAAGCTGGGAAATGGTGAGTATACGGGGTTCGGCATCCCGAGAGGGGACAGCAGGCTGTGAAACCGGCAGGACCGGCCCCCACGGTTAGCTCCGAGTCTCCCGCAGCTTGGCCCTCAGTCCCCTGTGGCTGCAAGATGGCCGCTGGGCCAGCATCGAGGACCCCCACATCCGGCCTGGCCCATCCGGTGCTGTCCCTGGGCAGCGCCCTGCTCTGCGCCCACAGCCATGAGTATTTCCCAGATTGTTCAGGGAGGCCTGGTGGGTCATCAGGGAAAAACTGCCACTGGGTGTTTGCGTGGGAGGAGCTGCGGCCCGTGGGGTCCCCAGTCTCTCTTGTTAAAAATTAACGGGAGTCTATGTTAAAACGTTAACCAGTTTATCTGAACAAACAGTGATTGGTGAAATGGAAAGCACCCAGCCATGATTTCTGGTCCACCAGAGGGGCATAAAGGAAAGGCTTTCATAAGATGCATGAGAAAGCAGCCCAAATTCAAAAATTGGTTCCAGTTATGTAGTCACCTTATTTGAACTATCCAGATGGAAATGTCCTGGTTACATATTCAGAGGTTAATTGCATGTTTGCCATTGGTTAAACGTGCATTTTGTTTCAGGCTAAGATAATGCTTTATAGGAAATGTATTTGAGTTAGGTTTTAGTTTTTGTTTTTTTTTTTTTAACCTATGAACCCAGGACACTAGAGCCACTTTAGTCTAATTTTCTGCTCTTTAATTATTTTAACACTCCAGAGGAGGACTGGTTTTCTCCTGTGTTTTTTTAATATATGGCAAGTGGAACCTCTAATCGACCACCCTGTTTTTCAGCCTAACTCAGGCTTGTGGTAAAATTATCAGTTCCCACTTTCTTTGCTGCATTCTCAAATGCAACACAGGAGAACAGCTTTCCCTTGCAAATTCACAATGCTGTTAACTATTTGTCCTTTATTATACATTTCATTAAAGTTTTCTATTATTGGATTTCTTTCTACTTCTCCCTACAGTTCTGCCCATATTTGCTTTTTATATTTAGAAGCCTCCCTTTTGGGTGCATAAATATATATAGCTATATTCACTTGACAAATTAACCTCTATTATTATTGTATGGTAAACTCATTTCATGCTTGTGAGAGACATTGCTAGAAAGTCTATTTTGTCTAATTTAAGCATAACTACCATTGAACTCCTTTGGCTATTATTTGCATGGAATATCATTTTCTATCCTTTCACTTTTAGCCTATGCTCTTAATTCATAATTGAGTCTCTTGTAAGCAGCATATTACGAGGTTTAAAAGTTTCATTTATCCACTCTGTCTGCTTTAGTCTCTTTTGGCTGTTATAACAGAATATCACAGACTGGTAATTAATAAAGAACAGAATTTTATTTGACTCATGATTCTGGAGGCTGGGAAGGTAAAAGAACATGTTACTGGTATCTGTTGAAGGTCTAGTTGCTGGATAATAACATGGCCAAAGATGTGAGGGAGAGACAGCTTTTTTTTTTTTAATATATAACAGATCCATTCTTGTTAAAATTAGCCCATTCCCATAATAAGAACATTAATCCATTCATGAGGGCAGAGTGCTTATAGCTTAATTAATTTTTAAAGGTTCCACCTCTTAATTCTTTCACATTGGCCATTTTATCCTAAATTTTGGAGATGACATTCAGTCTACAGAAGTATCTGTTTAGTAGATAATTTAATCTTTTTATTTGTAAGGTAGTGATAGGTAAGCAGTTACTATTGTACATTTGTAGTTTTCTGTCCATTTTAAGTTTGCTTCTTTTTTTTCTGGTTCTGTCTTTCCTGTGGTATTGTTCATTTTTGTTGAGACAAAGTTATGCTTTCTTGCTCAGACTGAAGTTCAGTGGCATATCACAGCTCACTGTAGCCTCAATCTCCTGGGCTCAAGCAATCCTCCCCCCTTAGCCACCCAAGTAGCTTGGACTACTTGGACATGTACCACAACACCCAAGGAGCTTATGATTCTTCCACCTTGGCCTCCAAAAGTGTTGGAATTATAAGCAGGAGCCACTGTATCCAATGTGTAATTTTTGTTGTTTGTGTATGCTTTAATTACTTTCTCTTTTTCTTTACTATGTTTTTTTTTCCCCCAGTGGTTATCATGAGACTTATGTAAAACCTCTTGTATTTTAATAGTCTAGTTTAAGATGATAACAATTTAGAGTATTCTGAATTTCAGTATGTATTTACCATTTTTAGTGACATTTATACTTTAGTATTTTTCATATTGTTAGTTAGCATTTCATCATATCAATGTGAAGATTTCTTCCAGACCTTGGCTGGAGAAGGAAAGAAGGTGTGTTTTGCCTGATTCAGGGACTATAGAGAGAACCAAGTTCTGCAGGCCTGTCACCTAAGTCTCAGATGAGTATGAATTCTTTTGTGTTTTTCACAGATTTTTGCAGTGGCAGGACCAAGTTCAAATGAGTCATAGCCAAGTTTACAGTAAGATGTGGTAGTATTCTGTTTTGAACCGAGGACCATGATTGGCAAGCTTGCCACTTGGTCAAGTGCTTACCCTCTAAAGATGTCTTCCTTGGTCTTTGCCTCCAGCTGGGTGTCACAAACTCTGAACTGGATTCTAAGGCTTTCATGAATGCACTTATGTTTCCCGTGGCAGCTGCATTATGTTGTGGGGGATGTGCATGCCGAACCTCCCATTCTGTCGTCTTGCTTATGTTACTCTCCTTTATGTTTCACTTTCTCAAATGAATGTCAAGCTGGTGATTTTTAGATTCAAAAATTCTAAAATAAATTGCTCAAATTTCCACATTATGTAAGCTATTAATAAAATGTCTTGTAGGTGCTACATATTTATTAAAATTTTTGGTTGTAATTTTAAGCTCACTGCAGGCAGAAAGGAATCATTAACATTTATATTCTTTTTTTTAGTCTGTATCTAAATGATGGTATATTTTAATTCCAGATATTTACTTTATACTGCAGTAATGCTCGTCATATTTTGCAAAATTTATGTTGTTCTTTTATTTGGAAATATAAGGCTTTTTTAGCTCTTGAAATCTATATTATAGTCATATAATTTTATTATGTTTTGTGGTAAGAAGTGCAGCAACATATTGAGAACATAATAAAATTATCCTGTATTTTTAATGATTATTTATTAAATTCCTCTCATTAGAGCCTGTTATTAATGATTGTAATGTATTTTCTGTATAATTTTACTGCAATTTATTAAATTCTAATGACTTAAATTGTCTGCTTTTCATGAGTGCACACAGTTGAATGCTGTAGATATCTAAAGAATTATTTTTCGGCCGGTTGTGGTGGCTCATGCCTGTATTCCCAGCACCTTGGGAGGCCAAGGCGGGTGGATCACGAGGTCAGGAGATCGAGACAACCCTGACTAACATGGTGAAACCCCGTCTCTACTAAATATACAAAAAATTAGCCGGGCATAGTGGCAGGCGCCTGTATCCCCAGCTACTCAGGAGGCTGAGGCAGGAGAATGGCGTGAACTCAGTGGACAGAGTTTGCAGTGAGCCGAGATCGCGCCACTGCACTCCAGCCTGGGCAACAGGGCAAGACTCTGTCTCAAAAAAAAAAATAAAAAAAAAAACGGTTATTTTCCATTGTAAATCTATGTTGTATTCAGGATTTTATGCACGAAAATCTCTCTTCTTATTTTCAAGTCCGTGTTATTGTGTTTCTTTTCTTGGGAGTTATGTTTTCTCAGATCAGTTAAATGTATTTTTATTTTAAAGCTTGATATCATCAGTTGAAAGATAATTTTTAGCTCGGTACACTTTATCTCAATGTGATGTTTAATATATGTGTGAATTAGCTGTGTTTGTTGCTTATAGATATATCTGTATGTTTTTCACTTATGTAAGTATGACATCTTTTTCCTTGTTTTTTTGTTTTTTTCTTTTCAGTTTCAGATAGGCTTTTTTTTTTTTTAAGAGAATTTTAAAACAGAGTCGAAAGAAGAGAAATCAGTTATTTGTCCTCTTGCAGGGTGGGGAGACAACTTCCTTCCCCACAGGTTTGAGGCTATGCCTAAGTGGTGAGTCTTGAGGAGATGCAGAAAGGATCCATCCCAGGCACTTGGCTGGACTTAAGTAAGCATAGCCTTTAGGCCACAAGACCTGATGGTTTGGGTACTGGTCTGGACATAAGTCCCCATCTTCCCAGAAATATCATCTTTTGTCTGCAACAACTGGCTGGAGAAATATTTCAGAAAGATGTGTGTCTGGAACACCCAAAGACATACTTTTCCTTTCTCCTTGGCATAGGCCTTGCAGCACTGAAGAAAGACCAGGTTTGCAATGGAGCCTTCAACAGTCTTCATCCCTATGGAACTCAGGGTCTCATAGGGTGACAGGAGAGGAGACAAAGCTAACTTGGGAAGAGTCTCTGTCCTTCAGCTTCTCCCCTACTGAAACACTATATATTGGGCCCACAGTTCATCACAAAACACACATGCTCTCTTTCTTTCTCTCACACCCAATCTTGGGAACCCAAAAACTTGATGGCAGGTAGCTCTGGGTATCCTTGGTCTGGCATTCACCCACTGGGAATCTAAGCTGTCCTAAAGCTCTTTTCAATCACTTCTCACTGTTTCCAGGCCCATGTGGGTAGGTGTTCCAGGCTTCATTCTTTCAGGCTGATCATAAAGGCACAGTGTGGGAAAATCCCCTACTGTGATGGCCATTGCTGGGAAGCAGGAAAGGCTAAGGGCCCACTGCTGCCCAAGGCTAGTATAGATGCCCTCTGCTCCACTCATGTCCTCAAAGACTGATATCAGGTGCAGCAGCTGCTGTCTGGAATGTTATCAAACCAGGACTGCACAGGCACTGCATTCTCTGTGTGGAAGACGTAAGAAGCAGGCGAGTTGTCCAGGATGAGAGTTTTCCTCAGGTCCCTCCCCAGATGGCTGAGGTCATTGACATAGCAGCCCTGGTGGAACAAACGTGACTCATGGGCTAGGCAACCCCAGAACACCTCACACTGGTCCAGCACACCCATCACAATGTGTCTGGAATTGGTGGGTTCTTGTTCTCACTGACTTCAAGAATGAAGCCACAGACCCTCACGGTGAGTGTTACAGTTCTTAAAGGTGGCATGTCTGGAGTTTGTTCCTTCTGACATTCGGATGTGTTGAGAGTTTCTTCCCTCTGGTGGGCTCGTGGTCTCGCTGGCTCAGGAGTGAAGCTGCAGACGTTCGCGGTGAGTGTTACAGCTCTTAAGGTGGCACATCTGGAGTTGTTCATTCCTCCAGGTGGGTTCGTGGTCTCGCTGGCTTCAGGAGTGAAGTTGTGGACCTTCACAGTGAGTGTTACAGCTCATAAAGGCATTGTGGACCCAAAGAGTGAGCAGCAGCAATATTTATTGCAAAGAGCAAAAGAACAAAGCTTCCACAGTGTGGAAGGGGACCCGAGTGGGTTGCCACTGCTGGCTGGGGCAGCCTACTTTTATTCCCTTATCTGGCCCCACCCACATCTTGCTGATTGTTAGAGCCGAGTGGTCTTTTTTCACAGGGCGCTGATTGGTGTGTTTACAATCCCTGAGCTAGACACAAAGGTTCTCCACATCCCCACCAGTGTAGCTAGATACAGAGTGTTGATTGGTGCATTCACAAACCCTGAGCTAGACACAGGGTGCTGATTGGCATGTTTACAAACCTTGAGCTAGATACAGAGTGCCGATTGGTGTATTTACAATCCCTGAGCTAGACACAAAGTTTCTCCACGTCCCTACCAGACTCAGGAGCCCAGCTGGCTTCACCCAGTGGATCCCCCACAGGGTCTGCAGGTGTAGCTGCCTGCCAGTCTGGCACTGTGCACCCGCACTTCTCAGCCCTTGGGTGGTTGATGGGACTGGGTGCCGTGGAGCAGGGGGCGACACTCATCCAGGAGGCTTGGGCACACAGGAGCCCACCGATGGGGGGGAGGCTCAGGCATGGCGGGCTGCAGGACCCAAGCCCTGCCCTGTGGGATGGCAGCTAAGGCCCAGCGACAAATTGAGCACAGCAGCTGCTGGCCGAGGTGTTAAGCCCCTCACTGCCTGGGGCCGGTGGGGCCAGCCGGCGGCTCCGAGTGTGGGGTCCGCCGAGCTCGCGCTGGCCTTCAAGCACTGCACGCCGCCCTGGTTCCCACACGCACCTCTCCCTCCACACCTCGTCGCAAGCTGAGGGAGCCGGCTCCGACCTTGGCCAGCCCAGAAAGGGGCTCCCACAGTGCAGCGACAGGCTGAAGGGCTCCTAAAGTGCCGCCAAAGTTGGAGCCCAGGCAGAGGAGGCCCGGAGAGTGAGCAAGGGTTGTGAGGACTGCCAGCACGCTGTCACCTCTCAACAGGATCTGCATACTTGTTCAGTCTGGAATGAAGAGAGCAATGAAGAAAACACATTTAAACAGTTCCTCCAGTCATCTCAGGAACTCATCCATATAAGGCCTCATGGTCCCCTCAATCTTTACAGTCACTAGGCAGTCAGCATTGCTGATTGGCTTAATGGAGCTATGCACAAGGGTTTCATCCATGTCAGTGACCATACAGATCGTTCCTTGATTTTTCTCTGTCACCTCTGGGAGCAGGCAGGTCCCTGGGATCTGATAAAACTGATACTGGAGACACTTGAGCTGATCCGACTTAGCAATGGTGTTGACTCCCTCCTTATGTGTGGAGAACTCAGTGGGGGAACTTGACTTGCCAACATGCTGGGTGCAAGAACAGCAGAAAGGTACCTTCTAAGATGTCACAAACATGAGGCCTCTTCGGAGAGCACTTTGGAAACCAGGCCTTGCTTGCTAAGGACCAGGGCATCTTCCCTCCATGCCTGGGTGGTGATGGAGCCTGGTTCCATCTAACAATCCTGAGGGCTCGGCTGGCTGGGTGGGAAGACAGCGGGCACGTTGGCTGGACTGGGCTGGGGGGCATGGGCTGGGGCCTGATTCAGTTCCCGAGAGTCTGACTTCCACAGCTGTTCACATACCCCTTCTCCTTTCCATCACAGGCCGGGAAGAGAGGCGGCCTGTAGGGACGGTGGATGGCCTTGGCAGCAGCTCCCCAGGGTGCCCCCAGCCCCAAATCCCCCAGCAGGAGCTTCAGGATCTTCAGTTTGGGTCTAACCTAGGGAATCCACCTCATACTCATGTTTTTTCAAGTTTTATTTTAAGTTCAGTGGTCCATATGTGATAAGCTTTTTTTTCAACTTTTATTTTAAGTTTAGGGGTCCATGTGCAGGATATGCAGGTCTCTTACATAGATAAACGTGTGCCATTGTGCTTTACTGCACAGATCATCTCATCACCCAGGTACTAAGCCCAGCATCCGCAGCTATTCTTCCTGCTGCTCTCCTTCCCCTCCCCCATGCCATGAAACAGGTGTCCAGTGTGTGTTGTTCTTCCTGATGTGTCCATGTGTTCTCATTGATCTGCTTCTGCTAATAAGTTAGAATAATAATAGGTGGTGTTTGGTTTTCTGTTCCTGCATTAGTTTGCTGGGAGTAATGGCTTCAAATTCCAACCATGTCCCTGCAAAGGACATCATCTCATTACATTTTATGGCTTCATAGTGTTCCATGGTGTATGTGTACCACATTTTCTTTATCCAGTATATCATTGATGGGCATGTAGATTGATTACATGACGTTGCTATTGTAAATATTGCTGCAATGAACATATGTATACATGTTTATTTAAAATAGATTTATATTCCTTTGGGTGTATGCCCAGTAATAGTATTGCTGGGTCAAATGGTATTTCTGCTTCTAGGTCTTTGAGGAATCTCCACACTCTCTTCCACAATGCTTGAAATAATTTACAATCCCACCAACAGTGTAAAAGTGTTCCCTTTTCTCCACAACCTCACCAGCATCTGTTTTTATTTCTTTTTTACTTTTTATTAATAGACATTGTAATTGGTGTGAGATGGTATCTCATTGTTGTTTTGATGTGTATTTATCCAGTTATCAGTGATGTTGAGCTTTCCATGTTTGTTGGGCACATGTATGTCTTCTTTTGAGATATGTCTGTTCATGTCCTTTGACCACTTTTTAATGGGGTTGTTTGTTTTTCTCTTGTAAATTTTAAGTCCCTCATAGATTCTGGGTATTAGATATTTGTCAGATGAATAGGTTGCAAAATTTTTCTCCCATTCTCTAGCTTCTCTGCTCTGATGATAGCTTCTTTGGCTCTGTGGAATCTCTTTAGTTTAATTAGACCCCATTAGTCAATTTTTGCTTTTGTTGCTATTTCTTTTGGTCTTTTTGTCATCAAATCTTTCCTCATGACTATATCCTGAATGGTATTTTCTAGATTTTTTCTTCTAAGGTTTTTATAGTTTTGGGTTTTACATTCAAGTCTTTAATCCATCTTGAGTCAATTTTTGTCTATGGTGTTAGGAAGGGTTCCAGTCTTAATTCTCTGCACATGACTAGCCAGTTATCCTAGCACTATTTATTGAATAGGGAGACTTTTCCCTAATTCCTTGTTTTTGTTGACTTTGTCAAAGATCAGTTTGTTGTAGGTTTTTGGCTTTATTTCTATGCTCTCTATTTTGTTTCATTTGTCTATGTGTCTGTTTCTATACCAGTACCATGCTGTTTTTGTTACTGTACTCTTCTAGTACAGTTTGAAGTTAGGCAATGACCCTTTCAGCTTTTTTTTTTTTTTTTCTTAAGGTTGGCTTGGCTATTTGGGCTCTTTTTTGGTTCCATTTTAATTTTAAAAAGTTTTTTTTTTCTAATTATCTGAAGAATGTCAGTAGTTCAATGGGAACAGCATTGAATCTATAAATTACTTAGGGCAATATGCTCATATTCGTGGTACTGATTCTTTCTCTCCGTGAGCATGGAATGTTTCTCCATTTGTTTTGTGTCCACTCTGATTCCTCTGAGTAGTTGTTTGTAGTTCTCCTTGAAGATATCCTTCACTTTCCTTCTTAGCTGTATTCCTTGGTATTTTTTTCTCTTTATAGCAAATGTGAATGAAAGTTCATTCATGATTTGTCTCCCTGCTTGCCTGTTGCTTGTGTATGGGAATGCTAGCTACTTTTGCAGATTGATTTTATATCCTGAGATTTTGCTACTGCTGCTTATCACCTTAAGAAGCTTTGGGGCTGAGACGAAGAGGCTTTCTAGATATAGGGTCAGGTCATCTGTAAACAAAGATAATTTGACTTTCTCTCTTTCTATTTGAATACTGTTTATTTCTTCCTCTGGCCTGATTTTCCTGGACAAGTTTTCCGAATGGGAGTTGTAATGCGAGTGGTGAGAGAGAGCATACTTTTCTTGTGCCGGTTTTCAGGGGGAATGTTTCCAGCTTTTGCATATTCAGTATGATATTGGCTGTGGGTTTGTTGTATATGGCTCTTCTTATTTTGAGGTATGTTTCTTCAGTTCCTAATTTATTGAGAATTTTAAACGTGAAGGAATGTTGAATTTTATTGGGTGCTTTTTCTGCATCTATTGAGGTAATCATGTGGTTTTTTTATTTAGTTTTCTTTATGTGATGAGTCACATTTGTTGATTTGCATATGTTGAATCAACCTTGCATCCTGGAGACAAAGCCAATTCCATTGTGGTGGATGCACTTTTTAATGTGCTGCTGGGTTTGGTTTGCCAGTATTTTATTGAGGATGTTTGCACAGTGTTCATCAAAGACATTGGCATGATGTGTTGTTGTTGTTGTTGTTGTATCTATGTTAGGTTTTGGTATCAGGATGATGCTGGCCTGATAGAATGAGTTAGACAGAACTTCTTTGTCTTCAATTTTTTTTGGATAGTTTTAGGAGAAAATGTACTATCTCCTCTTTACCTCAAGTCAAATTCAGCTTGCTTGGTAGGCTAGTTCTTACTGTCTCAATTTCAGAACACATTATTGATCTATTCAGGGTTCAGTCTTGTAGAGAGTTTATTTTGCAAGGAAATTGTCCATTTCTTCTAGATTTTCTGGTTTATGAGCATAGAGGTGTTTATAGTATTCTCTGATCGTTGTTCTTATTTCCATGGGATCAGTGATGATATCTCCCTTATTATTTCTATTTGTGTTTGGTTCTTTCTTTTCTTATTTATTTGCCTAACTAGTGTTCCATCTAGTTTATAAATTTTTTTTTTTTTCATAAAAACAGCTCCTGGATTGGTTGAGTTTTTTTTTTTTTTTTTTGGAAGAGTTCTCAGTGTCTCTATCTCCTTCAGCTCTACTCTGATCTTGGCTATTTCTTATCTTCTGCTAGCTTTCAGGTTTGTTTTCACTTGGTTTTCTTGTTCTTTTAACCAAGATGTTAGGCTGTTAACTTTAGATCTTTCTAATTTTTTTTTTTCTTGTGGGAGAGTTTCACTCTGTCACCCAGGCTGGAGTACAGTGGCATAATCTCGGCTCACTGCAACCTCCACTTCTCGGTTTTAAGTCACTTCTGCTGTCTCAGCCTCCTGAGTAGCTGGGATTACAGATGTGAATCACCACACCTAGCTAATTTTTGTATTTTTTTGTAGAGATATGGTTTTGCTGTTGGCCAGGCTGGTCCTGAACACCTGGTCTCAAGTGATCTGCCTACCCCAGCCTCCCAAAGTGCTGGAATTACAGGCATGAGCCACCATGACCGGCCCTTTCTAGCTTTTTGATGTGGACATTAGTGCTATAAATTTCCCTCTTTTCTTGGTTTCTAGTGATTATTTTATTCTATCTTGGTGAGTAGTCAGGGAAATAATCTTAAATTTACAATCAACTTATAGTTTAAATCTAAATAATTAAGTGAGAAGAACCCTTTGTTATTTGAAGGGGATGTTTGAAGATTTTGTAACCGTGCCTTTTAGGTAGTCCTAAATTTCTAATTGTAGTTAAAAACATGCCATTTTCATTTCTAACATTTTAAGTATATGGTTTAGAAGTGGTAAGTATAGTTCTATTTTTTTTTGCAATAGGTTTTAGATAATTTTTGTCTTACAAAAGTAAAAGTGAATACTCATTAATTCTGAAACAAGTTAGTTAGCTTGCTTTAGTTAGATAGCAAGAGAAGGGTCCCTGGAAAGTCCCTGGCCCTTGGGTCAGTGTCTCATCCCTGCATAATATAAAAGGAATCCTGGAAAAAATCAAGCTGCAGACACTAACAAGGTAACTAGCACATGGTGTTGTGCTTGGAGACCTGCCCATGGCTGCACAGACAGAAAAACCTCTGGCATATTTGGATAAAAACTTGTACAAACCTCCAGCTCACTGAGATAAGGGAACAAGACCGACCTGGCATAGAAATGCCTTTGTTTGTCCAGGCACAGTGGCTCATGCCCGTAATTCCAGCAATTTGGGAGGCAGAAGTGGGCGGATCACCTGAGGTCGGGAGTTCGAGACCAGCATGACCAACATGGAGAAAAATACAAAATTAGCCGGGCATGGTGCCTCATGCCTGTAATCCCAGCTACTTGGGAGGCTGAGGCAGGAGAATCACTTAAACCCAGGTGGCGGAGTTTGCTGTGGGCCGAGATCGCACCATTGCACTCCAGCCTGGGCAACAAGAGCAAAACTACGTCTCAAAATAAATAAATTAATAAATAATAAGAAAGTACATCTCAAAAACAAAAATGAAAGAAAGAAAGAAAAGAAAAAGAAAAAAAGAAACGCCTTTGTACTTTGTGCAGTCAGTGGGCTCCCAGGAAAATGTTTCTTCTCCTTTTGTGGGCATAAGCACAGTGGGCTCTGGTGCATTCCGGTCGACACTCTCCTTTATTTGGACTGTAAGTCAGACCTCTGTGAATAATTACTTCAGCCCCTGATTGCTCCCGGGACAAGCTCCTGCGCCAAGCTTTCACTTTAGCTTCTGATAAGTCCTGGGCCAATCTAAATAGCATCTATGAATCATCCCTTCAGCTCCTGATTGGTCCCGGGTCAAAGTCCTGGGCCAAGCTGAGCCACACTTTTTTCAAGACAGCCTGTTAACTAGGCACATTTCCTTCTCTTCCTTTCCCAGTCCATAAAAACCTTGGGCCCCAGCCTCACAGAGGTCACCCCATTCAGAAACTATCTCTGCTGGCAAAGAGCTTTCTTCTCTTGCTTATCAAACTTTCACTCTAACCTCACCTTTGTGTTCACGCTCCTTAATCTCCCTAGAAGTAGAACAAAGAACTTTCGATGCTATCTCAGACTATGAGAGACTGTTACATCTTGGTGCACTGCTGAGACTACAACACTTGGTTTCTTTGAGTTTGACTAAATATTTTACATAGGTGTAATTATACAGTTTTCCTTTTTGACTGTCTTGTTTTACTTAACAGAATGTTTTCGAGATTTGTCCTTATTGTAGTACTTTTCAAGATTTCCTTATTTTTAAGGCTGAATGCTATCCAGTGAATATACGTGCCCTGTTTGTTGAATCTACTCATCCTTAAAGGTACATTTGCTTCCAGGTAGTATGTTTGTGAGTAATGCTACAGTGTACATAAATGTGCATATATCTATTCCATGTTCTGCTTTGCCTGTTTGGGATATTTTTCACACACTGATTTAGTACCATGTGTATTCCCTTGCTTTTGTTGTCTGATTCGTTGATGTTACATCCCCCAAATTATTGCCGAGACCAATTGTCATGAAGCTTCACCCTTCTGTATTGTGCTAGGAATTTTACAGCTATAGATTTTACATTATAGTCTTCATATTTTAAAATTGACACATGTAATTGTACAAATTTTGGGGAAACAATTATGTATATATGTTGTATAGCAATAAAAATCAGAGTACTTAGTGTAATTATTGCCTCATACATTTGTTATTTTTGTGGTGAGAACATTCAAAAGCTTCTTCTCTAGCTATTTTTTTATATCTTTATATATTAACTTTTTTTAGAGACAGGATCTTGCTCTAACACACAGATTGGAGTGCAGTGGTGCAATCCTAGCTCACTGTAACCTCAAACAATCTTCTAACCTCAGCTTCCCAATTAGCTGAGACTACAGGAACCTGCCTCCATGCCTGGATAATGTTTTAATTTTTCATAGAGACAGGGTCACACTATGTTGTCCAGGCTCATCTTGAACTTCTGACATCAAGTGATTCTCCTACCTCATTCTCCCAAAATGTATGGATGGCAGGAATGTGCCACCACAACTGGTCTCTTTTAGCTATTTTGTAATTTGAGATAACTTTTCATTAATTATTATTATTCTGCTGTGTAACAAAAAACAAAAACTTATTTCTCCTATCTAATTGTAACACAATACTTTTGAAGCTGCCTTTTCCCATCTCCCTGCTTCAGTCTCTGGGAACCCCTGTTGTACTCTTTGCTTATATCAACCCTTTTTTTCAGGTTCCTCAAATGAGTGAGATAATAAGATCATAAAGTATTTGTGTTTCTCTATGTGGCTTATTTTACTTAACATGGTATGCTCAAGGTTCATCCATGCTCTTTTAACTGACAGAATTTTATCCTTTCTTATAGCTGAATAGTATTTCACTGTGCATATATAGTACATTTTCCTTATCCATTTATCTGTTGCTGTACATTTGAATTGATTCCATATATAAGCTATTATAACTAGTTCTGTAACTAACATGGAAATGCAAATATCTTTTTGACACAGTGATATCCTTTCTTTTGTATATACATGCAGGAGTAAAATTGCTGGATCATGTAATACATCTATTTTTAATTTCTTTCAGAAACCTCCATAGTATTTTCTATAGTGGCCATACTAATTTACAATTCCACCAACAATGTATACATTCACTCATTTTATATCCTCATTAGTACTTGTTTTATTTATTTATTTATTTTTATTATAGCCATTCTAAATGGGAGTGAGGCGGTACCTCATTGTGGTTTGGATTTTCATTTCCTTAGTGATTAGTAATGTAGAACATATTTTTATGTTCCAGTTAGCCATTTTTGTATCACTTTTTGACAAACATCTATTAAGATCTTTTGCATTTTTTTAATTAGATTATAAGTGTATTTTATTTTGAGATTTTAAAGTTTCTTATTTATTCTGAATATTAGCCTTTTGTCATATGTATAGCCTGAAAGCATTTTCTTTTATTGCCTAAGCTGTCTCTTCAATCTTTTAGTTTTTTTAATATGGAAAAGCATTTTAGTTTGACATAATGTTGTTTGCTTATTTTTGATTTTGTTGCCTATGTTTTGACATGTTATTTTAATAATCCTTTCCCCGTCGAATGTTATAAAGCATTTTTTAGTTTTTCTCTAATAGTTTCATAATTGATAGCATTACATTTAAGTCTTTAGTTTGAATTGATTTTCATATATGGCAAGGCACAGGGGTCTAGTATAATTTTTCTGAATTTAAATATTTAAATGGCCCTGCATCATTTATTGAAGAAATTAGCTTTTCCCTAAAGTGTGTTCTTGGCAATTTTGTTGACAATCAGTTGGCTTTAGGTGCATAAACTAACTTCTGGGCTTCTTGGGCACATTAGTCTATGTGTTTGTTTTTATGCCAGTACAGTGCTCTTTTGGTTACTATAGCTTTGTAGCAAGTTTTGAAGTTTGATAAAGTGATGCCTTTAGCTTTGCTTATTTTGCTCAAAGTTATTTGTCTATTCAGAGTTTTTTGTGGATCCACATAAATTTAAAATATTTTTTCTATTTCTGTGAAAAAATGTCATTGATATTTTGATAAAAATATTACCTCCCACAGGGTCCCTCCCAGGACATGTGGGGATTATTACAATTTAAGATGAGATTTGATTGGGGACACAGAGCCAAACCCTGTCAATTACTTAAATCCAGGAGTTCGACACTACCCCGGGCAATATTGTGACAAGCTATTGGTAAAAAATATTTTCACAGATTACTCAGGCATTGTGGAATGTTCCTGTAGTCTCAGGAAGTTGGAGGCTGACGTAAGATTATTCCTTGAGTTCCCCAGGAACTTGAGGCTGCATTGAGCTATAATCATCGTATTGTATTCCTGTCTGGGTGAGAGAGTAAGACCTCTTTTTAGAATTTCAAATTTATTTTAGATTTAGGAGGTACCTACACAGGTTTTTTACATGGGTATTTTGTATAATGCTGAGGTTTGAAGTATGAGTAATTCCATCAATCAGGTAGTGAGCATAGTACTAAGTAGACAGTTTTTCAGTTCTTGGTCCCTCCCTCTCTCCACCCTCTAAGAGTTGTCTATTATTTTTGTTTTTCTGTCCATGTGTACCCAGTGTTAATTTCCATTTATAAGTGAGAATATGCAGTATTTTCATTTTCCATTTCTGCATTAATTTGCTTTGTATAATGGCCTTTAGTTGTGTTAACGTTGCTGCAAAGGAGGTTTTTTTTGTTTGTTTTTGCTAAGTAGTATTGCTGTACATGTGACACTTTTTAAATTCAATTTACCATCAATAGGCTGGACATGGTGGCTGATGCCTGTAATCCCAGTGCTGTGGGAGGCCAAGGCGGGTGGATCATGAGGTCAGGAGATCGAGACCATCCTGGACAACGTAATGAAACCCCGTATGTACTGGAAATACAAAAGTTAGCCAGGCTTGGTGGCATGCGCCTATAGTCCCAGCTACTCGGGTGGCTGAGGAAGGAGAATTGCTTGAACCTGGGAGGTGGAGATTGTAGTGAGCTGAGATCGTGCCACTGCACTCCAGCCTGGGCAACAGAGTGAGACGTCATCTCAAAAAAATAAAAAATTACCATGAATAGGCACGTAGGTTGATTCAGGTCCTTCCTCTTATGAATAGTGTAGTGATGAACCAACAAGTGCATGTGCTATTTTGGTAGAATAGTTTATTCTCTTTTGGGTATATACCCAGCGGTGAAATTGCTGGGTTGAATCACAGTTTAACTCTCAGTTATTTGGAAAATCTCCAAGCTGTTCTCCACAGTGGCTGAACTAATTTACATTCCTATTAACAGTGTATAAGTGGTTTTTTCCCTCTAAAACCCCATCAACATCTATTATCATTTTACTTTTTAACAAAAACCATTCTAACTGGTGTACAATGGTGTCTTATTGTGGTTTTTATTTACATTTCCTTGATGGTTAGTGATGATAAGCTTTTTTCATGTTATTTGGCCACTTGTATGTGTTCTTTTGAAGAGTGTCTGTTATTGCCCACTTTTTCATGGGGTAATTTTTTCCTTGTGAATTCTTTAAGTTTCTTATAGATTCTGAGTATTAGATTTTGTCAGGTTCATAGGTTATGAATATTTTTGCCATTCTGCTAGCTTTGGGGTAAGTTAGTTTTTATTTTTCTAGTTTCTCTAAGTGTGATGTTAAATTGTTAGTTTGAGATCATTCTAACTTCTTGATGCAGGTATTTAGCACTCTCAACTTTCCTCTTAACAGAGCTCTTCCTACAACCCAGACATTTTGTTATATTGTGTCTCTTCTATTTCAAAATCTTTTTAATTTTCTGCCTTAATTTTTTTGTTTATCCAAAATTCATTCAGGAGCAAGTTGTTTAATTTCAATATCATTCTGTGATTTTGTGAGATTTTCTTGGTATTGATTTTTATCTTTGTTCCATTGTGGCCTGTCATATTCTGTGAGCAGATGAGAAGAATTTACTTTCTTTAGATGATGTGTTGCATATACTATAAATGTCTATTAGTTTCAATTGATCAAGTGTCGAATCAAACTCCAGAATTTCTTTGTTAAGTTTCTGCCTAGATAATCTGTCAAACACTTAGTGGGGAGTTGCATTCCCCTACTATTATTGTGTGTCTACTTGAGGCTTATTGTAGTTCTAGCAGTAATTGTTGTATAACTCTATGTTCCCCAAAGTTGGGTGCATCTACATTTACGATAGTTAAGTCTTCTTGTTGAATTGAACCCTTTATCGTTACGCAATACCTTTCTTTGTTTTATTTTACTATTAATGATTTAAAGCTATTTTTTCTTAAAAGAGAAACAATTCCAGGTATGGTAGCTTGTGCCAGCACTTTCAGACTGAAGCAGTCGGATTGCCTGAGACCAGGAGTTTGAGACCAGCCGAGGCAACACAGCAACATACTGTTTGTACAAATTTTTTTAAAGAAACTATACAGGAGGGGTAATGTGCACAACTGTGGTCATATTTACTCAGGAGACATAGGTGGCATGACTGCTTGACTTCCGAAATTTGAGGTTACAGTGAGCTGTGATTCCACCAGTGTACTCTGTCCCAGGAGATAAAGTAAGATCCTCTGCATAAAATGAAAAAGTAAAGAAAAATAAAAAGATTTTAAGTTAAAAAAATAATTCCTAGATCTCCACTTCTTTAGGTTCACTTGAATATATATTTTTCTCCTTTGATTAGGTTATATTTCCTGGTTGCTTTTACTTACTGTAGTTTTGTTAAGGTTTTGATCAATTAAGAAACCACTACCTATTTTATCCTTTATGAAAGAGCTTTATACATGGGAAAATTGACAACATTCAGCCACAGTAGTCATACTGGGAGCTTCTCCAATCTGTTGTCAAAATGTGTCTTCTTTGGACTACTGTATGTATTTTCTTGTTAATAAGGTTTACCTCTGTTTCCTCTTAGGAGCCTTTAGTCTCTTCCCTTCGTCACTGTTGTAGGCACTACAGTCTCTGTTGTTGTAAGAAGCATTTATCTTTATTCTCAGTTGACCCAAGCTGTCATTTAAACTCAGTCTCTATTCTCATCAACACTAAATGTTAAAGGAAGCAATTTCCAGTCTTTAGATAACCCCGGTATAACTCAGTAAGTCAGAAGTTTGCATACGCATTTCACTCTTTTTTCTTTCCCAAAGGAGAATCATGGAATGGACAGATTTTTATCTAACTGCGCTGTTCTGTAGTGCACAAATGTGACCAAATTTTCTTCTAAATGTGGTTATGGTTGGCTTTTTTCTCATGTGGGGTGCTACAAACTCAACTGGCTTTGTTCGCCCAATTGTAGTTAAGTTCATATGTCAATGGAGAGAAACAGGATCTCAGGTTCTGCTTCAACTGTCATTGTCTTCTCAGCTGACCTCATTTTGTACATTAGATTTATAAAATATATTTACTTTAATCTCATCACCGAATTTTTAAAAAAATTATTATTTTTCAGCTCTTTTAGCAATATATCCAATCAAGACCCAGAGAAAACAGTACATAGAAGCTTCTTTTCAAAAAGTAATATTGGGAAGATATGGGAGCTCTGGCCTTGAACTTTTACACTTAGGAGAGTGGGAAATTGAAGGATAAGTGTAAACGGCACAAAGTATGCTATGATGAATATACCAGATACACAGCAATTACCTACAGCAAAAATGTCACTGCTAGAAGAGCTCAAAACCATAAAGTATTTTGGAAAAAGCATAATTAATGTTGATTCTTTTTTCTGAACTATATATTTATATAATTACATACCAATAACAATTTTTGAAACATATCATGTTTTTGAAACAAAATTTAGAAAATCGCAATAGTGGCCTAGGCCAGGAATATTTCTTCTAATGCTATCCCTCCCATAGTCCCCCACTTCCCGACAGGCTCCAGTGTGTGATGTTCCCCTTCCTGTGTCCGTGTGTTCTCTTTGTTTAACTCCCTATTATGAGTGAGAACATGCGATGTTAGCTTTTCTACTCTTGTGTTAGTTTGCTGAGAATGGTGGTTTCCAGCTTCATCCATGTCCCTGCAAAGGACATGAACTCATCCTTTTTATGACTGCATCGTATTCCATGATGTGGACATGCCAAGTTTTCTTTATTCAGTCTATCATTGATGGTCATTTGGTTTGTTTCAAAGTTTTTGCTCTTGTGAACAGTGCCATAATAAACATACGTATGCATGTATCTTTATAATAGAATAATTTATAATCCTTTGGGTATATACCCAGTAATGTGATTGCTGGGTCAAATGGTATTTCTCATTGTGGATCCTTGAGGAATCACCACACTGTCTTCCACACTGGTTGAACTAATTTACACTCTCACCAACAGTGTATAAGTCTTCCTATTTTTCCACATCCTTTGTTGTTTCCTGATTTTTTTAATGATCACCATTCTAACAGGTGTGGGATGGTTTCTCATTGTGTTTTTGATTTGCATGTGTCTAATAACCAGTGATGATGTCCTTTTCTTCATTTGTTTATTGGCTGCATAAATGTCTCCTTTTGAGAAGTGTCTGTTCAAATCCTTTGCCCATTTTCGATGTTGTTGTTTCTTTTTTTCTTGTAAATTTGTTTAAGTTCTTTGTAGATTCTACATATCAGCCCATTGTCAGACGGATAGATTGCAGAAATTTTCTCCCATTCTTTAGGTTGCCTGTTCACTCTGATATAGTTTTTTTTGTTGTGCAGAAGCTCTTTAGTTTAATTATATCTCGTTTGTCAATTTTGGCTTTTGTTGCCATTGTTTTTGGTGTTGTAGTCATGAAGTCTTTGCCCATGCCTATGTCCTGAATGGTACTGCCTTGGTTTTCTTCTGGGGTTTTTATGGTTTTAAGTCTTATGTTTAAGTCTTTAATCCATCTTCAGTTATGTTTTGTATAACGAGTAAGGAAGAAGTCCAGTTTCAGTTTTTTGCATATGGCTAGCTAGTTTTCCAACACCATTTATTAAATAGGGAATCCTTTCCCCATTACTTGTTTTTGTCAGGTTCATCAAAGATCAGATGATTCTAGATGTTGAGTGTTATTTCTGAGGCCTCTGTTCTGTTCCATTTGTCAATATATCTGTTTTGGTACGAGTACCATCCTGTCTTGGTTACTGTGGCCTTTTAGTATAGTTTGAAGACAGCTAGCATGATGCCTCCACCTTTGTTCTTTTTGCTTAGTATTGTCTTGTCTATGCAAGACCTTTTTTGATTCCATATGAAATTTGAAGTAGTTTTTTTTCTAATTCTGTGAAGAAAGTCAATGGGAGCTTGATGGGGATAGCAATGAATTTATAAATTACTTTGGGCAATATGGCCATTTTCATAATATTGATTCTTCCTATCCATGAGCATGGATTGTTTTCGTTTGTTTGTGTCCTCTTTCATTTCCTTGAGCAGTGGTTTGTAGTTCTCCTTGAAGTGGTCCTTTACATCATTTTTAAGTTGGATTCCTAGGTATTTTATTCCCTTTGTAGCAATTGTGAATGAGAGTTAACACATGATTTGGCTCTCTGTTTGCCTATTATTGCGTATAGGAATGCTTGTGATTTTTGAACATTGATTTTGTATCCTGAGACTTTGCTGAAGTTGCTTATCAGTTTAAGGAAATTTTGGGCTGAGATGGTAGGGTTTTCTAGATATACAATCATGTCATCTGCAAACAAAGACAATTTGACTTCTTCTCTTCCTATCTGAATACGCTTTATTTCTTTCTTTCTTTTGCTGATTGCCAGAACTTCCAATACTATAATGAATAGGAGTGGGGAGAAAGGGTGTTCTTGTCTTGTGCAGGTTTTCAAAGGGAATGCTTCCAGTTTTTGCCCATTCAGTATGATATTAGCTGTGCATTTGTCATAAATAACTCTTATTATGTTGAGATAGGTTCCATCAATACATAATTCATTGAGAGTTTTTACCATGAAGAGGTGTGGAATTTTATTGAAGGCCTTTTTTGCATCTATTGAGATAATCATGTGGTTTTTGTCATTAGTTCTGTTTATGTGATGGATTTTATTTATTGATTTGCATATGTTGAACCAGCTTTGTATCCCAGGGATTAAGCTGACTAGATCGTGGTGGATAAGCTTTTTGATGTGCTGCTGGATTCGGTTTGCCAGTATTTTATTGAGGATTTTCGCATCGATATTCATCAGGGATATGGGCCTGAAATTTTCTTTTTCTGGTGTGTCTTTGCCAGGTTTTGGTTTCAGGATGATGCTGGCCACATAAAATGAATTAGGGAGGAGTACCTCTTTTTCTATTGTTTGAAATAATTTCAGAAGGAATGGTACCAGCTCCTCTTTGTACCTTTGGTAGAATTCGGCTGTGAATCCGTCTGGTCCTGGACTTCTTTTTGTTGGTAGGCTACTAATTACTGCCTCAATTTTAGAACTTGTTATTGGCCTATTCAAGGATTCGACTTCCTACTGGTTTGCACTTGGGAGGGTATATGTGTCCAGGAATTTATCCATTTCATCTAGATTTTCTAGTTAATTTGCAAAGAGGTATTTATAATATTCTGTAATGATACTTTTTATTTCTGTGGGATCAACGGTTATATCCCCTTTATCATTTCCTATTGCATGTATTTGATTCTTTTCTTCCTTATTAGTCTGGCTAGAAGTTTATTTATTTTCTTGATCTTTTAAAAAAACCAGCTCCTGGATTCATTGATTTTTTGGACGGGCTTTTTGTGTCTCTATCTCCTTCAGTTCTGCTCTGATCTTAAATCTTGTCTTCTGCTAGTTTTTGAATTTGTTTGCTCTTGCTTCCCTAGTTTTTTTAATTGTGATGTTACGGTGTCGATTTTAGACATTTTTCTGCTTTCTCTTGTGGGGATTTAGTGCTGTAAATTTCCCTTTCAGACTACTTTAGCTGTGTCGTATTTTACTTTTTAAGCCCTCAATCTTCCTTTTTCATCGTGATAGTCTTTACTGTTTTATGTTTATGTAATGTAAAATTGACTACACAATTTTTACAAAGATTTTATGAAAATATTTTATTGAGAATGTACAAACCGTCAGTCAATTAGAGGAGAAGTTACACTGTCATAATAAATAGCCACAAAGCAAAACGCCAAAAGACATCCAAATCAGAATAAAACAAAACATTTTAACAAAAACAAAAAGAACAAACTGGCAACAAATATGTGAAGTTTATATTACAAAGATGCTCACTTATCCACTCTAAAGAGAGCTTTTAGAATTTGATTTAAAATACGGCAAAGACATTATCCCACACTTCACAGAAAAAATAAATTTAAGCAGCTGTTAACACATGAATGTATTATCAAGCTCAGATATAATCAAAATTAAATATTTGACAAGAGATTCTACAGTTTGGGAGAAATAGAAGTGTTTTTTTCTTTTCCCCAGGCCCACAAGTCTAGTTTCTTGTTCTTCTTCACTATAATGGGGTTTGTCATCAGCTCCCCAAAATATGGGAAGCACAGAGCAGGTGGTGGCTGAAGGTGGGGTATCCTGTGAAACCATATTTAAGATCAGAGCCCTTGGTCCATTGTGTTGTAATCAGCTGGCTCAGGAAAGAACACCTGGCTGTCCAGAGCTCTACACCTACTGCACTGGGTGTGAAAGGAGGCCTGAGAACCCATGGGTCCCAAACCCACCCCACTCCAAATTATCATCCAGTATTGAGAACTCTGACACCAAATTCTCACAGAGCATATGTTTATGCAGTTTTACATTTAATTTCTCATTACATTACAATTGGGAAACTGAGGCCCCAGAAGAGGCAGAGACTGGTCCAGATCTCAGGAGGTGGGCAGGCTCCAGAGCATTAGAGAGGGCTCCAGCTTCCTAGGCCTTGGCACCGTCCCACTTATCAGGTTTGTTTTCGAAATTAGAGTCTGTAGCTACACATTCAGGAGCACAGAAAATGAGCAGATTCAGGGTTCTGTTCACATGGGGTCCTCTCCATGTCAGTTTCAAGATAACAGGACTGGGGTTCTGCATCCAGCTCTGAGGGCAACTGGAAGTAAAATGAGCTATGCTCCACCTCAGCCTAATGTAGACAGTGCCTACAGGAAAGCTTGTTTTCTTCCTCATAAATAGGGGTGCCTGAAGTGGGTGACCTTGATGATTTCACATACTCATAAGTGTCTGCCAGCCTGGATTCTTGCTCTGAGACTGCAAAAATGCACCCACTCTGCAGATCCTTCAAATCAGAGGGAGGCATGGCCACTTGAGAGGCATCTTGGGTAGATGAAGATGAGACAGAGTTAAATGTGCCAGAGCACTGGACTCTGAGGCTGAGGTCCACGGAAAATCTCAGCTACTGTTGCGTTCTTAAGGTCCTCATTTGAAAGTGGTAGAAAATAATTTCACTGGATAAGGGGAGGATACCTCATGAGTAAATAGCACAACCAAAAAGGTGGAGGCAAAGAGAGGGCAAAACGGGATTCCTAGTTCACTCATTATACTTGGGGCCTTCAGATCCTGCTACTTTATCCCCTAGGACCTTGAAGAACCAGTGTCTTGAGGACAGAAAAATCAAGGTATCAGATTTGTTCAGTAGTGCTCCTGCTTGGGGCTGTAGGGTTAGTGATGGCCAGGAGGTGGTTACAGCCTACTGTGTTTCTGGTGCCCACTGAGCTTTGCTGGAGCAGCTGGAACAAGTAACAGTCACACACCTCATGTTGTTATCAGTGATGTCCACATTATCAGGTGGTCAAAAGGGGAAGGGATATTAGGGATCCCCCATATAATCACTTAGCCAGTCTTTTTTCCCTTGCGCTCACCATTTGCCAGCGACCCTGGTGGGTCCAACATGTGGTACAGAAAATTATTACTTCATGTCTGCACCCCCCAACCCAGGACCAAACAATCTGAGGACCGCTGGACAAAAGCACTAAAGCAAGTATATGTGAAAGAAAAGAGCAAGGACTATAATATAAAGTAGATTATTGAGAAGAAAACCTGGAAAATTATTGCATGGGAGGACCTCAGGCCTCACTGAGGTGACTTTTAATCCATGATGAGGATGACAGCAGGGAGGCATCTGCACAAGCATGTGTCAGGGAGAAGCCACCCTTAGTGAAAAAACTCATAGGTGTGAGTTTGGCAGAGGTAAAAAGGGACTAGTTTGGCTGCAGACAGCCTGAGAAAGAGATAAGCAGAGGGATGGAGAATCCTAGGGCCTGGGAGATGAGGTTAGATATCTGCTCCTTTCTGACAACATTGCCCTAAAAGTCAGCACTTTTCAACAACATATAATATCTCATAATGTGTGTGGACCAGAATCTGGACACAGCTCAGCTGGCTACCTCTGCCTTCAGGTCTTTTATGAGACTGGGGGCTGTGGTCTTAACTGAAGCTGGACTGGGAAAGCATGAGCCTTTAAGCTGACTCATGTGAAAATTGACAGGGTTTAGTGTGGCTGGAGAGCCTGACTTTCCTTCTCTCTACTCGTCTGAGCACCCTCTCACCCTTTGTTATGTGGGTCTCTACATGGAGCATCTCATAGCATTGGAGCTTGCTTCCTGTGTTTGAGGAATACAATAGACAGAATTAGACAAAAAGGTTTACACAAAAAGAGACAGAAAGATCGAGGGCGCAAACGAGAAAAACCCAGTAGGAGAAAAATTAGAGCTTTAAAAACATCTTGACAGGGTGCGGTGGCTCACACCTGTAATCCCAGCACTTTGGGATGCTGAGACGTGTGGATCGCCTGAGGTCAAGGGTTTGAAACCAACCTGGACAACATGGTGAAACCACCGTCTCTTCTAAAAATACAAAATGAGCTAGATGTGGTGGCGCATGCCTGTAATCCCAGCTACTTGGGAGACTGAGGCAGGAGAATCAATTGAACCTGGGAGGCAAAGGTTCCAATAAGCCGAGATCACACCACTGCACTCCAGCCTGGGATACAAGAGTGAAACTGTGTCTCAAAAAAAAAAAAAAAAAAAAAAAAAAAGAAAGAAAGAAAGAAAGAAAAAAAACTTGAGAGTTACTATAATTTTTCTTCTATATTTGTGTTAAAATTGTAACCCCGGGCGTAATGCTATAAGGAGGTAGAATGTAATTAAACCCTTAGGGTGGGACCCTCATAATACAGATTACTGGCTTTATACAAGAAACCGCAGAGGGCTCTCATCCTCCTGCAAAATGAGGGTAAAACCTGAAGTGTGCAGGCTGAAATTCAGAAGCCAGTCATCACCAGATCTCAACCATGCTGACACCCTGATCTCAAATTTGAACCTCTGGAGGTATGAGAAATTAAGTCCTGTTGTCTATATGCTGCCTATCTATGGTTCTTTGGCATAGCAGCCTGAACTAATACAAAAGTGATATCCTTTTCTGTGTTTCATTGGAGAGAAGCTGAATTTGTACCCCCTATACTGTTAAAAAAAAAGACTTAAAAAATGGATCTTCAGAATGAAAGATAGGAAACGGCTTGTTGAAACACTAAAAATTTAACTGCTATAAGTTTTTTAAACATTGGCTGAAATTGTTGGAACCAATATTGCCAACTGAAGTCCATGAAGCATCACTTTGCAGACTTTGGAGCCCAAATTTCCATTGTGTGCTTCATACTAACTCTCCCTGAATTTGTATGTGACCTGTGAGGAAACAAGAAGAGATGACTGTATATGTCTCATGACTTTCCATATTCCTACTTTCCTTCCAGCAATCCCCTACAGAACCCACCTATTAGGCCTTTTCTAATCACTGCCTTAAAGCCAGTATGACAAAACAAATTTGATTTGAACTCCTATCTCCTTGTTAGCCAACATACAAGATGATATTTTCCTCAAAACCGAAGGGCCATAGTACTGGCATCAGGAAGTATTCCATTTTATTCAATAAAAAACTGAGTCACTCAATACCTAGTACTGGGAGACTTTGTGAAGACTTCCTCTGTCATAGACGTGATAAGGCACATGGATATGATTCTAAATATAAAGAGAAAGCACTAGAAAGTTGAATTCCTGTATTAGATCATTCTCATACTGCAATGATGGAGTACCTGAGACTGGGTAACTTATAAAGTAAAGAAGTTTAATTGACTCACATTTCCACATAATTGTGGGGGCACCTCAGAAACCTTCCAATTACAGTGGCTGACAAGTGAAGTGAGTGAGAGCATGGGATGTACCAGATGCTTATGAAACTATCAGATCTCGTGAGAACTCACTATCACAAGAACAGCATGAGGAGAACCCGTCCCCATAATCCAATCATCTCCCCTCAGGTTTTCCCTTAACACCTAGGGGTTATAATACACAATGAGTTTTGGGTGGGGACGCACAGCTAAACTATATGAATGCCAGAGGACAGTATCTACATTTAATTTCAACTTCATACTGGAGCAGAATGAAAATGAGGCCCAGTGGAGAAGTGATATTTCCAAGATCACCCTGGCAGACACCAGGCCTGTTTGAGTTGTGGCCCATGCTACCTCCCACCTATTCTCCTAATGCTTCCATCTCTAAGTGTATGCATTATCTACAGGTGACACTACATCATTATTTTTATGTCTTATCTTATATACACCTAATACATTCCCTAGGAAGTAGATGTTAGCATCATCACCAGTGTGCATGTTAGGAGGCTGGGGAAGCCTTGAATACAGTGACTTTTACTGGGTCCCAGAGATGGTAAGAAAAACAAGGTTATGTTCCAGCTGTCTCTTCTATCCTGGAACCCAGGTTGCATTTAGGTCTTTCCAGGGAATTAAGGGGAAGTTGTGTTTGCATAATTGTGTACAAATAAAGAGTTGACATGGAAGAGGAGACTGAGCAATCAGTAGCATAGTGGGGCCTTTCGGTATGTCTTACAGAAACATGGGGCCCAGTAGATGGAACCTTGAAGAGTTTAACATACTTTCTTGGTGTCAGAACCCAACAGCAGTTAAGAAACCAGGAATCCACATTCTTGAGACAGCTCTGTATCCACCTCTGTTTGTGAGAGTTGCTCAAGAGAGTGAGATGCTCTTTCATTGTGCCCTGAAATTTCTGAGTTTCAGCCTTACAAAGGCTCAATGTAAAAGTCTTATCTGATAACACAGATGTCAACTGAGCCCTCATCACTGATGTCCCTGGCTTTTGGCCGGGTGCACCTACAAATAACACAGGGCAGCCCAGGACAGGCCCCTCCACGCCAGCCTCTCTTGTCAACTCATCTGGGCAGTCCCACACCACTTCTTAGTACCATGAGTTGGATGGGGAGCAAGAGGGAGGGCACTCTTCTTGGACTGAAGTAGATTGTCGGGTGTTGGAACTCTTGTGTACCTGTCATGTTCATACCTAGGCCATAGCTGGCAGAATAAAAAGAAGAGGGTTGGAGAACGAGTCTGTGTACTCAGATGTGAATTCCAAGACTTTAACTTGTCCTCTGGTTTCCTTCCTTCATGGAGATTTATACAGATTCTCCTTATGTGCCTAATCTGAAGAGAAGAATTTCTTTTATTTTCTTTTTTCTTTTTTCCTTTCTTCTTTTCTTTTTTCCTTTCTTCTTTTCTCTTTTCTTTTCTTTCTCTTTCTTTCTTTCTTCTTTCTTTTTTTTTTCTTTCTCTTTCTTTCTTTCCATCTCTCTCTTTCTTTCTTTCCTTCTCTCTCTCTTTCTTTTTTATTTATCATGAAGTCTCACTCTGTTACCCAGGCTGGAGTGCAGAGAAAAGCAGAATTTCTAATGGAGGTGTCACATACGGTCAAAGCAAGGAAGAACACAGACTTTTCTTTGCGTGGTTTCTAGGCACATTTACAAAGCTGCATTCAGATTGATGAGGAGCTTCATCATTCAGTTTAATGTGGCCAACTCCTCCCTCTTTTTGGAAAAAGAGCAGGTGCACTAAACCAGCAAACACAGCCAGCACTGGGCTGTGCTGAGAGCAGCCACATAGGGGTCTCTACAGACAGAAAGCTGAGAAGACAGGGAAAGAAACAGGACCCAGACTCAAATATGAAAAATCTCTGGGCTTTGTCCTACGGCCTTCCCATGAGTAACTCATAGCCTTGTTCCAGTGGAATCTGGCCTTCACTAGTCTCAGTGGCAAGTTGGTTATGTGGAAAGTCTCTCTTCACACACTTGTGCGAATAACGGTAAAGAATTTTGTATAGTTTTCACTTTACATTAGGCCATGAGTATTTATGCCTGTGGCTGCAGTTTGTGTTAGTTTCCGGCCCCACGTATCTCCTGCAGCATGCAGCTTCAGTCCTATCGGACCCTCAAAACTTAAAAGCTAACACTATTACTAGGGAGGATTTCGCAGGAAAATGGAGAAAGGGTTACACACAAAAAAGGTTAAACTACTCTATGCATGTTTCTGCAATGTGTTATCTCAGGAACTCATTTCTGTAGCCCATCAGGGCAGGAGCTGGGCTCTCACCTGTTGATAATATTCCATAAGGGAGGTTCTTCCCCACAGTGTTTAGTCTCCCGACGCTGGTACAGCCTGACATGATGACATTCTACTTTCATGTCGGTCATGCTGCAGGGAAAATTCTGAGTGTTCTAATAGGCTGGAATCATTTGCTAGGGTGAACCCCATCTTTGGTTCTCACTTTTCTGTTATCTTGTAATTAGCTTTATTCTCAGCAAATCCATGTCTATTTTATTTATCTGTTTATTTACTTATTTTTATGTATGGAAAAACACTTTTTTTTATTTACTTATTTATTTAGAGACAGGTCTCCGTCTGTTACCCAAGCTGGAGTACTGTGGTAGAGTGCTGTGATCATGGCTCATTGCAGCTTCAAACTCTTGGGCTCAAATGATTCTCTCACCTCAGCCTCCTGTGCCACCATGCCCTGCTAGTTGATTTTAATTTTTTATAAAGAAGGAGACTCATTAGGCTGCCCAGGCTGGTCTCAAACTCCTGGGCCCAAGCAATTCTCTCATCTCAGCCTCCCAAAGCACTGGGATTAAAAACATGAGCCACTGTACTGAGCTGTGCCTACTTCAAAAGACTGAAAATAAAAAATCAATAAATCTTTGCCAAATTAAAAAACAAAACAATAGTTTCCAGGTCTTAGACAAAGACAATTCTGTGTCATGAAGAGTGGCAAAAGGCTTATTTAGCTGTTAAAATGATTTGCTTATATTTCAAAGAAGCAGAGAAAAAAAGATACATATAAAAGTTTTCCAGGCCAGGCACGGCTGTTCATGCCTGTAATCCCAACATTTGGGGAGGCCAAGGCAGGAGGATCTCTTGAAGCCAAATGTTTGAGTCCAGTACAGGCAACATGGTGAAATTCTGTCACCATAAAAAAATAAATAAAATAAATATGGCTGGACATGGTGGTTCACGCTTGTAATACCAGCACTTTGGGAGTCGGAGGCAGGTGGATAATGAGGTCAGGGGTTCGAGACCAGCCTGGCCAAAATGGTGAAACCCTTTCTCTCCTAAAAATAATAACAATAAAAAATTAGCCAGGCATGGTGCTGTGCGCCTGTAATGCCAGCTACTCAAAAGGTTGAAGCAAGAGAATTGCTTGAACTTGGGAGGCGGAGGTTGCATTGAGCTAAGATCATGCCACTACACTCTAGCCTGGCCCACAGAGCAAGACACTGTCTTGAAAAAATAAATAAATAAATAAATAAATAAATAAATAAATAAATAAATAAAAAGTTAGCTAGGCCTGGAGGTGCATGCCTATAGTCCTAGGTAATTAAGAGGTTGAGGCAGGAGGACTGCTCAAACCCAAGAAGTTAAGGTTATAGTGAGCTATGATTATGCCATTGCACTTCAGACTAAGCAAAAGAGTAAGATTCCATTTCAAAAAATTACTAAAAAAAGTTCTCTAAATTACATTGTTTAAGAAAAGGGAAAAGAAAAAATATCTTTTTTAATTTTCAAATGGGAGAATAGAGCCTCTCATTTCTAATATGTATTTCCTTCTGCAAAAACATGGTCTAGGCCCATGGTCTTGAACTACTGGACATCTGAATTTTAGTAGGTGCTGGATTCAGGCAACTGAGGGGTGGCTTGGACACACTAAGTGCACGTAAATAAAAGGTTTGAGGTGAACTAAAAGGTAAAAGAGGGGAAGGTGCTATTAAGAACCCACAGTTGGGAGACAGTACAGGGTTGGTGGAAGGACTGGTTCATGCTACAGATACTGACCCAGGTGAAACTTTACTCTGACTTATTTCTGTGTCCATGCAGGAAGACGAGATTATGATCAGGTGGCACAGAAACCTGGGATGGTGAAAAAACCAGGTTGCCCCTGCAGATTCGGTGTCTGAGGTAGAACGTATGCCAGGGGTCTTGTAGGCACATGTGTGGGTTTTTGGTGGGAAAGTCTATGAGGAAAGGTAGCATGGGCAACAATCTTGATGCCAAAGCCTTGTCCTGAGAGGGGCTTGGCCACATCAACATGCAGTGTGTATGTTCAGTGGGTGAAAAACCTGTGGTGGCCTCAGGTTGGCAGGAGGGTAGAAGGCATCTGTTCTCAGAACTTCTTCCCTCAGAGTCGTCGGTCCTTCTTACCATGGGAGAATGCCTGGAACCACAGGGCAGTGCATGGTGTAGCAGCCTGTGTGCAGAGCAGAGCCTACCTTCCCCGAGACACCTGGAGTCTCTCTCCAGCAGAGGCCCCCACATTGTCTTTCTCCTTACAACACTTTTGATCCTAAATGTGTAAAGTTCCCTGAAAACCCACTGCTTCTCCAACACCCATTTGTTGCCCCAAAATTTAATTCTGACACAACTTAGAGTTCACACAGATCCCAGAAATTCAGGGCTCAGTCCCACATCACCCCTCTCACTGTAGAGGAGAGTTACACATCCCTGAAGCCCATCTACACTTCTGAGCTACCTCCTATAAATCTGAGACTAGCATAAACCCCTTTTCAAGTTAAATAATTTGATAGAATTACTAAAAAGAAAACCTCAACAAATAACTGTAATTATATTTACTACTTTATTATAAAAATATAACTCAGAAACAGCCAAATGGAAGAGATGTCTAGGGCAAGGAACAGTTGTGGGTGAAGGCAATCCTGGAAATAGCTATATTTAAAGAAATTCCCCCATTCTTTGCATTCTCAAAGAACAGCTTAGTGAAGAGAAACGTGCTTCCCCTGATGACTTTGAGGATGCTCCCTGCTGTTTTTTTAACCTATCACAAAAATGGACACAGATTGCAAATTCCCATTTTTAAAAATGAACAACCATTCAGTAATTTAGTCTTCAGTGGTCCAAATAACATACTCTTAAAGAAACTTTGCTTGTTTCTCTTCTTCCAACCAGCCCCTGAACTTTGACTCACCCACAGCTTCAGCAAACCTACAACCCTTATTTATACATACCCCTCCTAAGAACAGGCTGAGTTCAAGGTGAAACATTATCTTATCTGGGATCGCATTTTGCTACCCTCCATCGTGTGCTTCCTTTCCAACCTTCTTTGTAAACTTGTTTTCTCCTCCCTATGAAATAAGGCCCTTTTCCACCTAACCTTAGAGATACTCAAAGATCTAATCATTTGTACTTTTTCTTTGTTGCAATACTTCTTAGGTAACTTCTTAGACCAAGTCTAGAAACAGTCTGAGGACAATAACAATTCCATTCTAAAAAGAATCTCCCAACATTTCTTCTATCTCAACCTCAACTGCATCTGCCTGTGAACTTCCAGCTTACCAAGGCTCTATATCTTCTGGCAGTGACAAAGGCTCCTTCCATGGTTGGTGTGAGTAGGCTTGGACACCTGCAGGGCAGACACCCAGGAATAATCAACTGGGCCTTCAGTGGTCCTCTTTTGCAGGGTCAAGGTGGGCCTTAGCTTTTAGTCAATGGTCTAAGACTTCTATTTACCAGTTAGTCATTCAGTTAGTTTTCAATTCAAAAAATACTTCATGTTTGAAGAATCCAGCAAAAATTATTCAAATCTAAGATATAAAAGAGAGGAAATTACAGCCGGGCATGGTGACTCATGCCTGTAATCCCTACATTTTGGGAGGCCTAGGCGGGCAGATGACCTGAGATCAGGAGTTTGAGACCAGCCTGACCAACATGAAGAAACCCCGTCTCTGCTAAAAATACAAAATTATCCAGGTGTGGTGTTGTATGCCTGTAATCCCAGCTACTCGGGAGGCCGAGGCAGGAGAATCGCTTGAACCCAGGAGTTGGAGGTTACAGTGAGCAGATGTCTTGCCATTGCACTCCAGCCTGGGCAAGAAGAGTGAAACTACATCTAAAAAATAACAGAATAAAATAAAATAAAAACATTATAAGGGGCTTATATCTTATAATTCATCAAGAAAAGCCAAAGTATCTATCCCTTTCAGAAAATAAACATGTAATTTAATTATGTTCAAAACAAATCATTTAGTAAACAATTAATCATATGTGAACACTTCCAGGAGGTGCAAAGTCCCAGCTCCTAAAACTTAACATTACCCTCAAACACCCAGATGGCAGCATATGGAATAGAGTTATTCACTTTCACAAGTTCTCTCTTTTGAAAAAAAGAATAACTTATGTGATAAATTTATGTAATTTGACAATTAATCTACCTCATGTGCTTGCAGATATGTATTCATTTCCTACCACCGTAGTGGAAGAGAGATTTTCCCTATCTTTACAACTGATAGCATTTCCAACAGTAAGCTGTGAGATTCTGCTTGAAATCACCTCTCAAACAAATAAAAAACAGACCTGGGAGACATGCTACACTCATTCTGCTGAGGAAATAGGTAAGTAACAATTTTTAACAAATGAAATACATTACTACTTAATTTTATTCAAAATTCACCAACTTAATGTGCTTTATAAATATTCTCATACCTTTGAAGCTCTACTGATAAAACATAATTTACAGTTAATGAAAAAGTGAAGTTAAAATAAATACAATCATATTTTCAAGGTGACAAAATTAGAAGGTGACAATGGTGATTGAAACACAGACATATCTGACCCAAGGGTCAAGTCAAGCCGTTCTATTACTTGGGATATTTTCCCTGCTTCTATCTGGTTCAGTGATGTGGGTCATGAGCGTCCTACCAGGAGCTGCTACGCTCTGCTCCACTGTGTCTGTGAGGTGCATTTTACTTTGCAGGTTTTTGCACTGCCTCACTAGGTTGGGTTTCTTTGTCCTTTGAAATATTTTCTCTCCCTTCACCAATCTGAGGACATTTTTTCCTCACTATTCAGCATCCAGTTGCCTGGCATGCAATGTGTCTCTAAGGAATGGAAACTAAGCGTTGGGGTAAGAAATTCTTAATGTCCTAAAGGGTTTGCTTTTAGCGCAAATGTATACGTGGAGATTCCTTCCAGGTATAGTGCATCCAACCACTCCAAAAAGAGGCTGCATTCCCATACCTTGGGCTGTTCCCTGAGAGGAGATGACACAAGGGATGTTATTTACTAGACACTTCAAGAGTCATGGCCAGTGTTGGTATCTTGGGGATTCTCAAACAGTTTTGAAACCCAAAACCAAGAAAATAACACAAGATGGCTGAGGATGTATTGCCCTGTGAGGTTTCTGAAATGAAACCTCAACCCAAAAACATTCTGATGGGGTGTCTGTGCCAAGGGAAGATTAAAGAAAGGGGCACAAATATTTTCTTTTCTTTTCTTTTCTTTTTTTTTACTGTGGATTGTCAGGGGATTATTATCTGCTTTCATGTCCTGTAAAATGTTTACAAATGAAAAATATTTTTTTAAGTGTCATCCACTGCTTTTTGAAAAAATGCAGAATTAAAATACTGTGTCTAAAATGTACAATAAAGAACAGTTGATAATGTTGTGAGTTACACAAGGTTAGTTAGTGTTGGTAAGTGTCAGGAAAGAACTGGAAATTTAAACTCTGACAGCAAGCCAGAGTTAGGCTGGGGTAACAGGGTGGTAGATTTGAGGCTCTTCTTGCCACACATTTGGAAAATGCATGAGAAAACTAATTCTCTTTTGGAGCATTAAAACAACTAAAAAACAGGCAATTGCGTTGAGGTGGCTCTAGTGTCCTGAGCTCTGAGTAGAGAGACAGGCAAAGGCATCCCTAGATCCAAAAAGCTGCCCATTCTTCTCCAGCTGTGCACCTGATTAGATAATTTCCACTCCAGCACCCATGATTGGATATAGTTCAATTCCCCACCAAGCCCCCTCAGGCCATGAGTGACATATGTGATTTGACACTGGATTGAATAAAGCAAGAATTATAAGTTTTTCCTGGATCCTTTTCTGGCAGGGCTTCCTTCATGCACTGGACACTGGCCCTGCCTGTAAAATACTTGCATTTTCATTTGTGTGTAAGATTATTTGTATTTATGAAAAATATATATGTGTTATTCATACATGGAAGCAATATAATGACAATTGTTTTAAAATTTCAGATGTTTTACTTTCCTGGCACATCCAGGTTTTAGAGCAGGCAGCCTGAGATTTCAAAAATGAGGCAATTCTCTAAGAAATAATATGTGAGGCACATGTGAATTTTAAATATTCTAGTAGCTACATTTTAATAAATACACCAGGCATGGTTGCCTGTTCGTGTAGGTTGAACTGTTTGGGAGACTGATGTGGGAGGATCATTTGAGGCAAGGAGTTTGAGACTAGCCCAGGCAGCATAGAGAAAGCCATCTCAACAACAACAACAACAAAATTGAAAAATTAGCCATGCCTGGTGTATGCCTTCAGTCCCAGCTACTCAGAAGGCTGGAGCTGGAGGATCACCTGAGCCTGGGAGGTCAAGGCTGCAGTGAGCCATGATCACACCACTGCACTCCAGCCTCACTGACAGAACAAAACTCTGACTCAAAAAACTGATCTCTGGAAAGGCATTTTCTTTTTCTGCAACGTAGCCAAATAGCTAAATTTGTATTGAAGCCATCCTTTAATTTTTAACAGGGCAAGAATATTTTCTAAGACCCCGAACTCCAGATATGCGATGGGGCAAATCCTGAAGCGTACATGGCTATCTCTCACAGCTAAAGCACCCCTCACCCCTATCCAGCGCTTCTTACCCCTGGCGCAAGAGAGTCACCTGCGGGGAGGAAAACTATCAAAATCCCTTAAACCCAAGTTGTAACCGCACAACTAAATCAGAATCCTTGGAGCTGGATCTGAAAAAAATACGGTTGAAAGTTGTGCAGGTGATTACAATGTGTAGGCAAGCCAGAAAACCATGGCTTTAACGAGCAGCTTTTGTTAGAAATGATTTCTCAAATGAATGTAAAAACGTTTGCTGCTGAATTGTGACCTTTCAATTTTACCTGCTTTTCCTGCAAAGTATATTTTGCAGACCCAGGCTGGCTTGTCCTTCTGTTCATGGTTCACCCAGTGCCGTGTGTGCTCAGTGCATCCTGTGCACGGGTCACTGTGCTGTGTGCGCTGGCCGGGGTGAGCATCATTCTTCGGGGAGAACCTTTCTGAAAACAAAGCTGCAATCCAAAAAGTTAAAACCATGCTACTTACTGTACTGAGGTAAAAATTAAAAGACCTAGGGGACTCTTCCAAAAGTTAAAACGTAAATAAATATCTTGGAACATTAATATACACCTGACGATGTCCTGAGTGAACACGCCCCACTTTAAAACAAAACAAAACATTACTATTATTCTAAAATATTAATTTAGGATTGTTATGCAAATATGTACTATTTAAATATTTATTGATGAATAACATGCATACAGCAATATAGGAACAAAATATTTATGGAATGCTTGATGAATTATTACTAAATAAATACACTTGTGTATGTAAGAATCAGATTTGCTCATGCCCTTGACACTTTCTCCTTCCCAAAGGTAACCAAGACCTTAAGAGCTAAGTGTAGATAAACTTTGTCATTTTCTACACGTGTTTTATTACAGAACATTAAAAACGTATACATAATACAAAAAAAGGATAACAGACCAGTCACCCAGATTTAACAGCTACTAGTCATGTGTCATTTTTGTTTCACCTATACTTCCAGCCATTTCCACCCCAATTTCATTATTTTTTAGCCTTTTTGGATAAAATGTATATTCATTGCAAGGTACAATGTGAACTGTGAATAGTAGAGAGATGGGGTTTCACCATGTTGACCATGCTAGTCTTGAACTCCTGTCCTCAGGTGATCCACCTGCTTCGGCTTCCCAAATTGCTGGGATTACAGGCATAAGCCAATATACTCAGCCTGAGAATTTTTTCATACTTCTAAGAAAGTACAAATCCATAGGGCACATGAGAACTGCAATGTCTATCTACAGTAAATACAGTTTGATAAATAAAATGAAAGGCAATTGACCTAAGGTGAAAAGAAAAACAAAAAACAATCAAAGCATGGGTACTATGTGTCATCTGTAAGAGCATTTGGTTAAGAATAACAAACAAACCAGTTTTATCGTTTTAATAGCCGAAATTGGCAAAATTTCTAGTTTTTCTTTCATAGGAATGCTCTTTGCAAGAAAAAATTTTCATATAGTGAGAGCAAAAATGGCAACCATTTGCAAGTAAATGTCTTATGAAATTAAGTAGCAGATATCAAGCTCATGACCTTCAGATAGTTACCCCTAACTCAATCACTTACATAGCAAGTGCAGATAATTTTCATAGCTCCCTATTAAAATTATATTTGAATGCCCTTACAAATTGTGACTGTTTTTAAATAAAGTTGACCAACTAAAATTTTGTATATGACATATGATAAATTCCCCTTCAAGTCACCTTACATTTACTTAATTTTATTAGGCAGTGTCTGTCTACCACCCAATAATACTTGACGATTCTCCCTCCATTTGCACAGGCATCATAGCTGGGAAACGGATTCACAAGACCCAGGCTGTTCCCTACATATGTTTCCTCCTCCGACATCAGTTCATCAGTCAATCAAGCCATGTGAGAGTGGAGGCCTTGTATTCCCTATTATTCTTGGGCACTCTACTCCAAGTAGGAAAAGGCCAGGAGGTCCTGTTAAAGGATGCACTCAGAGCCCGGGCTCCCTAACATATGAGAGTGCTAACCAGCAGGTGTAGACTTTTCAGGAGTGAAGAATGAGGCAGGCATTCCAAACCTGGACCTTCATCACCTTTTGTTTCATCTCAAGACAATTCTGAGGGACTGTTTTGGAGCGTGTCTGGAAGGTGAACCTTGAAGAAGAGTGTGGGCTTTGATGTGACTCAGTTGAGATCTTTCATGGGGAGGCAGGAATTCAATGCCCAGAATCTGGGCTGGTGTCTTTGAGGTCAGTAGGTTGCGTCTTTGTATCCAAGTCCATTGTTACTAGGTTGGAGGCTGGAGATTCTAAATGGCTTCCAGACCATCTCTCTGATTCTCTTTGGGAGATGGGGTCTGAAAGACAATGTCAGTAGTTTTGGGAAATTCTAGAAAGTGTGCTTGGAAACGTGGGAAGAGCTCTTGCCTAGTGCCTAAATGCTCCATTTGCAGCTCTAGCCAAGTAGATACTTGGTAGGTATAGAGCCGGGTTTGCGTTTATATCAGCAAAACCTATGTCAGAGTTGAAGAAGTAGTCAGGAAAAAGCGTCTTGGTCGCAGGCCGGGGAACATCTTAAAAGCAAACTTCTAGCCTGCTGACTCTTGGCAATGAGTGTTGGATCCTGGCTAAAGTGCCTTGAATGCAGCATGAGGCCAATCCATGAATCCAACTTCTCATGGAGAAATGTTAATATTTTTTCAGTTTGAATCAATCAGGGTGAAACTACCATGCTATTGGTTTGCTTACTTTTTATTATTTCATGTAAAATCTAAGACAAAATACATTAAATGCTTATTGACATATGTATTTATTCTTCACCAGGCTGATAATATCTGCCTAATTTTAAACTTTCTTCCATTTTGTAGGTTTCAACTTATTCTATTGTAAGATACTGTTAAATCTAATAGAGGCATTGTCACTTTTACGTATAATTTTATTTTATTTCATATATTTCCTATTGGCTTTTTACATTTAAATTATGGAGCACTTCATCATATAAAAAACTTCAATTATATTTAAACAGTAAGTCTTTGGATTTTTTTGCCTTGTAATTTCCATATTACATAATAATGAGATAAACATTAATGTTTTCAGGGTACTTTAAATTTTAGATAATTACTCATTGTATTCATGTGAAATTTGTTTTTACTGCATGTGTGGGTTGGAGGACTGTTTTCACTTCTGATTCATCTTTACTCTTATCTCATCAGAGCTCATACCTCTTGTAGTTGGGGGATTGCAGTTTATAATTCCAATAAATGGGGCAAATTCAATAATAACATAATACAAATGAGTTTGAATGCAGGACAGGTCTTCAAAGCATACACAACATGGGCCTACATATGTACAACAATAATAATTTATAAGTTACTGTTTGGATGGAAAGTAAAAGTACAGAAAATTTGTTAAAGGAAATTAAAATGGAGATCATGTCTCAATAATCTCTGAGCAGACAAAATTAGTTAGGTCTCATAAGTGATCTCAACCTCGCTTGATTTGCAAATACAAACAAAACTTAAATTATTTCTTGTAGCTGCATATTGAAAAAAGAGAAATGAAGCTCAACCAGTCAGAAGTAGCCAACAACCTTATATAAATAGAAACTGTCCAACAAGGTAAACAGACAAACAAAAAACAATAAAAAAAGTTGTGCTACCACCAAATGATTTCTTTGTTTCTACATTTTTCAAATAAATACTTGCTTCTTACACTGTCAATGAAGCACTCAATATCTTTCCGTCTGATATTTTATAATTTATCAATTGCTCTTACTCAAATAAACACTTTGCAATTTCATTGTGTCTCAAATTACTTTTTAGCAGAATAAACTAGGAATAAATATTACAAAAATATCTACGGAATATGGAAAAAACATAGAAAGTTTATGAAATATATGAATGTAGACATAAGCAAATAGACAATTTGTATCATATTCTTAGGCAGAAAAACTCAATATTATCAACATCAATTGTCCTTATAGTTATTTATAAATTCAATTTTGTTCCTATACTGATACCATTAAATATTGCAAGTACACGTTACTATAAAATGTTATATAGATGAAAACACAAACAAGAATAGACAAGAAAACTCTGAAAAAAAAAAAAACCACTGGCAAGCCCTGTGTAAAATCTTGATTGATTAAAAAACTCATGGATCACTGAAACTAAAAATTCAGAAATAAACCAAAGTGTCTAAGAAAGTGTCATAGTGCATCTTGGCTGCTATACCAAAATACCTTAGACTGGGTAAAGGATAAATAAGAGAAATGTATTTTTCACAGTTATGGAGTCTGGAAAGTGCAAGATCAAGGCAGCAGCAAATTTCGTATATGGTGAGAGCCCTATTCCCCATAGATGGTACCATCTCGCACATGGGACAAGGGCATTCCCTTCAACTTCCTTTGAAAGAGCACTGATTCCATTCATGAAGATGAAGAACTCTTGGCTTCACCACTTTCCCAAAGGCCTCACGCCTAAAATTATACACATGAATTTGAAAGGGGACATAAACATTCAGGCCATAGCAATAAAAACTACATGGGTGATGGCATCATTTATACATGAGGTGTAAAAATGTGATGTTCTTATCACAAAGGAAATAAATGATTTATTCTTCATGGCATATATCAAAATGAAGGTCCAATGAAAATATTTTTTATGAAGATAAATCTATATGGCAAAAAATTAAGTATTGATAAGTTTAACCCTACAGGTTGCATCAGGATTTTCAAGGTTTCCAGGGATGAGCAAGGCCCTGGAGTTTCCTCCTGTGACATTTTCCTGAAAGTTGCTCATGCTGTTATTCAATTTGAAAGTAGATAATATTGTTTGTTTCTCTTCCAATATTTACTAAATTCAAAATAATATAGGGCTCTTTACTCATAATTCTCAAACAATCATTCAGTCAGTGGGGCTCTGCTGAGGAAGAGCACAGACACATCCACACAAGTATAATGTTCCTCAAATAGAGGACTTCTCCTTGTGCTGGAGCCACCTATGTTGCACTCGATCAGAGGCTTTCCCAGGATAGCATTTCTCTGCAGCCCTACCTCAGTCTTAACCCTGAAAATCCCACTCAGAAGGCGACGGATGAACACCCACCCTAGCATTCTAATCTAATGGATCCTCTCTTAACAATCCCTTCCAGGGATCTGGGATCTTTCCTGGATTCGTCGGCCACACACACCTAGGCTCAAAAATTTGGACAGAAACTTTGATCCTCATTGGCCCTCCTGCCCTGTCCTACCAGCTTCTCTAGAAGTATGCTTCTCTAATTGCTCCTTAGAGACACTATCTAAGGGTATCAACCTGTGCCAATATAATTGATCTCATAAAGTGAGAAGGGAAATAGGCAAGAGTCCAGCTAGCCTAGAAGCAGTGTCTAGGGTTCCTTACCTGATTTATGTCTCTGATTTACCTAAATATTGACAAATACAGATTCACCTCTAGGCAGTAGAAAAACAGAAGGAGAAATCCCAGTTCGTAGAGGAAGAAGAAAATGCAATCAATGCTGTCTAGAGTCCCGCTTAAGCTCAGCCACAGGGTACTAAGTCTCTTCAGGAAAAAGCAATTGTTGTCCATCATCTGAAAAACTGTGGCCTGGAACCATGGGCACCGAGAGTGCACACTGCCCACTAGAGTTCCATGCCTACATCACGGAGAGATAGAATAGTCTCAAAGGATTCTTAAGAGTAATGTGGGGACCAAAAGGAGATGAATCCACAGCCTCTGCCTTACCGTCTGATCTAACTAATAGTATTTCCAGACCTTTCTGTGGGCTGCACCAGGGGTTGTTCAGAAAGAAAAAAAGTTGTTAATGTCCCACCGTTTCCCGTAGCTTCCGAGGTCTGTGTTGTTCATACCCCAGGTTCCAGGTTGTTCTCCCACTACTTCCACAGAATCAGTGTGTCTCATTCCGGTACCTATAATCTCATCTTTATTCTAGTCGCCCTCTACTTTTTTCTAGACACTTTATCTACTAGAGCCAGGTAAAATAGAGACAAGAATATTTACATAAAACTTAGCTGGAACTAAGTTGGAGTCCCATAACTGCTACTAGGCTGAGATGCAACTCAGAGGATACAAAAGCCAGGCTTGCCTAGAATTGCAGTTATGGGAAAGAAAGTCACATTTCACCCAGGAATTATTAGCACGAAATTCCAAGTTTGTGAAATAGATTCCTAGATGATTCCTAGATCCCCCAAACATTTCATCCTTATCTTGGAGGCAATCAGGAAGAGAAAATAAACCATACCTAATCAACAAATTATCTAACCAGCATGTGTGGAAAAGGAGGGAACATCATAGAGTTGGCTTGTTTTAGTACGTGTGGTGAAAAATGCCGCGAAGTCAGAGCTCAATTGGTCTCAAAAGCCTAAAAGATGGCACAGATTAGCTTCACGGGACACATGGTATGGATGGTGTCGGCATACTGTTATGCTGAAGATGTCAAGAGTGGTGACTGATATCTCAAGAAGTGGGCCAAAAGTCCACTTCTGGTTACTCTGCTTGGTATGGTCTAGGAATTCTTCAACCATGAGACAAATAGGTCAACTTTCACCAGCAACCCCAAGTCTGGTTTGCAGTATTAGACTCTGCGTTAGACACAGATTTAGGTTCAATCTGCAGCTTGATTGTTGTCACTCTCTAGAAAACAAACCCTTACCATGGACTTCTAGATGAGTGATCCAGTTAGATCAGCATCTGAGATTGTCTCCAGTTTGCAGCCCAAAAGATATTCAGACAGTCTACAGTTTCCATTGTAGATAACCAAACAGATAGAATATGTGCCATTATCCCAAACCCTGAGTTCTGACCTTTGAGAGGAGCAACCACTCATGTCAGGTTCTGTATGGCTGGCACAGGTTAAACAGCCACAGCAGCCCAGTGGACATCATGAGGTTTCACCTTCCCTGACTCATCTATGAACCAGGACCAGTCATATAGGAAACACTCAGTAAATTGGGGGCCCCACAGAGACAGCATCTTTGCTTCAGAGGATAGAAGGAGGCATAAAATTTCAACCAGCTGGGGATGCTCTAGCCCTCTATGGGTGAAACTGAGTTTGTCAGGAGTTCTGCAGCAAGCTCTTAGCTGACTTTCAAATCAGTGTAACCAGTAGTGTGTCACTGAGTCCAAAAGCCCAAAGAACACCTCTGGGAGGAGGCTAGTCCTTTACTAGAGGCTCCAAATGCCAAAATCAAGATTTTCTTGACCTCAGGATGAATTGATCAATGCAAATCTCCCCAAATATTTTCACTAAACCTTAATTGGAAAGTAAGACTCCAGATTTTTTAACTCTCACTAAACATAAATATCTGATTTTTTCACCTGAGATCTATGTATGTGTGTTGGAGCATGCCTTTACCAATCAGCATAAAGTTACATCTCTCCTTGAGCCTCTACTTTCTACTTGTGCAGAGTTTAAAATGCAGAGGTGAGAGCTTAGGGTTTTCTGGGTCTTTTGCTAAGCATGTACCTGACCTTGAGCATCCCCAATTCCCCATTTCCTTCTTGATCCCAAAGACCGTTATCACAGTCTTAATTCCCAGCAGCTTTTCCTCCTAGAGCTTTTTGACATGATTATTCTTAGACCCAACTGATATCCTTCGTTCCTGGTAGACTGCGTAGCTCATTTCCATTTAAATGCTTTTAGAAATATTAAACTATGGATTTAAGATTTATCTGCTTTTTAAATTAAGTAATGCTGCTCTTAGCCTTCCACAGGACTTGAGGGTTATAAAAAAAAAGGAAGAAAATAATTATTTTATACCAATAGTATGAAAAAGAGACTGGGAATGACTATATTAATAGCAGACAAAATAGACTTAAAAACTTAAAAGAGACAATAAGACATTATATAGTCATAGATTGTCCATTTGGCAGGAAGATAGAAATAGTTTAAACCCATACCTAATAATAAAACATTGAGATATAGAAAGCATAACTTGACAGAATTAAAGGGGCAAAAAGGCAGTTCTAAAATAATAGTTGAAGATGTTAATACTCCACTCTGAGTAATGAATAGAAAAATGAGATAGATGATAAATTAGGAAATAGAGTTCTTGAATAACTCAATGAACCAAATTGATCTAACAGATATATACAATATACTCCATCCAACAAAAGAGACTACACACTCTTCTCAAATGCACATGGGGATTTCCCCACGATGGGCTGTGTAGTAGATCTCAAATTAAATCAATAACAGAAGAAACGTTAGAAAGTTTACAAAACTGTATAAATTAAACAACATACCCTTAAACAACAAATAAGTAAAGGAAGAAATCACAGAGGAAGTTGGAACATACTTACAGAGGAAGAAAAATGAAAACAAAACACATCAAAAGTTAAGGGAAACAGCAAAAAGAGTGCTAAGATGTAAAGTTTGCAGCTAAAATGCATTTAAAAAGAACAAAGATTTCAAATAAATAATAACTTTATCACCTAGTAAATTAGAAAAATAACACCAAATTAGATGCAAAGCAAAGAGAAAGAAGAAAATATTAAAGCTTTTAGCAGAGATAAATGCAATGGAGATTATACAAACCACAGAATTCCAAAAAACCAAAAGTTCATTCTCACTTCTTCAAAAAATTAACAATTGGCAAACTTTCAGCTACACACACAAAAAATTAACAGCATATTCACATACTAAAATGAGAAATGAAAGTGGGACATTACTACTAATTCAAAGAATTAAAATGTTTAAAAAACTGTACTGTGAACTATGATAGGATGATAAATTGGAAAACGTAGATAAAGTGGGCAGATTCCTAGGTATACAAGACTTGATTACAAAGAAATACAAAATCTGAATAGATACAAAACTACTAAGGAAATGGAATCAGTAATTAAAAGCCTCTTCATAAAGAAAAGCCCTTATTTTGTTGGCTTCACTAGTGATTTAGATCAAGCATTTATAGAACAAAAATCCTTTCCAAAGTCTACCAAAAGCCTGAAGAGAGCAGTTCCAAACTTATTCCATGAAGCCACCATTAGCTCATACCGAAGCCAGACAAAGATACTACAAAAACCCATAGACTAATATCCCTTATGAACACGGATGCAAAACTAGTCAGCAACATCCTAGCTAACTACATTCAGCAGCATACTAGCAAGATTACAACCCATGACCAAGGGGAGTTTATTATTGGAATGAAAGGAAGTTTTAGCATATGGGTGGTTTCAGTGCAGTGGTGTTTACAAATAATTGATCACAACCAGTATAGATTTCTTTATTCTTTTTCCAGTCTCACTGGTTCACTTAGCTAGCCTTTCTTAACAAAAGTTTAAGCATATGAAAATTAATCAATGCATATGCCACATTGACAAACTTTTTAAAAAGTATTCTCTCATTAATACAGATAACGTATTTTACAAAATTCAAAATATTTTATAATAAAAACAATAAATTAGGAATAAAAGGAAACCAGCTTTGTAAAATTCACATATAAAAACCCACAGCAAACAACATATTCCAGAGGAAAAGATCAAAAGTGTTTCCTCTAAGCTCCGAAGACAGAGTGAATATCTGCTCTTGCTAGCCACTTTTATTCAACACTGTATTAGAAGTTTCATTCAGAGAAATTAAAAAAGACAATGAAATAAACTGCATCAAAATGTGTACAGAAAATATATTCTTATATGTAGAAAATCTTTAAGATTCCACCAAAAAATATTACAACTAATAAATTCAGCTGAATAGTAGCATACAAAATCAACATACAAAAACAAACTGCATTTTATGTAGTAACATGAATAATCTGAGAAGAAAACTCTGAAAACAATTCAATTTACAATAGTATCAAAAGAATAAAGTAGTTAGGAAGTAACGAAGAAGTAAAATGCCAATTACTCTTGTGTAGATATTAAAAAATCAATTTTTAAGTTTATGGGGAATCTCAAAGATCTTTAAATTGCAAAAATAATTTTGAAAAAAATACCAAAGTTAGACAAGTCACACTTAATGATTTCAAGACTTACTACAAAATTCCAAAATAGCATGCTACAAAGAGACTAATGGAGTAATATAGAAGGCCCATATAAATAAACCCTCATATATAAGGTCAAATGATTTTTATGGGAAATGAACTGCCTTTACAACAATTAGTGCTGGGGAAATTGGGTGCCCACATGTAAAAGAGTGAAGCTGGGCCCTTAACTTCTACTATAAGAAAAAATTAACTAACTGGATCAAAGACCTAAATGTAAGAGCTAAAACTACAAAATTCTTAGTATAAAATGTAGGTAAAACACGTCATAAGGCTGGATTTCGCAGTGATTTCTTTTAACAGGACACCAAAAATGCAAGAAACAAAAGAAAAATAGATAAAGAGGACTCTATCCAGAATATACAAAGAACAATTCAGCAATAATAAACTACTTGTTTAAAATATGGGCAAAATACTTAAACAGATATTTCTCTAAAAATTATGTGAAGTGGCTTATAAGCCCATGAAAAGGTACTCAACAAAACCTTTTCATTTTCATTAGTAAAATGAAAATCTAACCCCAAATGACATATCACTTAATGCACATCAGCATAACTAGTACAAAAAGAAAAAAAAAACAGAAAATCACAAGTGTTGGTGAGGAAGTGGAGCAGTTAGAACCCTTGTACACTTGGTGGAAATGTAAAATGCTGCAGCTGCTATAAAACAACACCATAGTAACGAAATAATTTACACTCAAAATCACCGTATGATCCAGCAATTTCACATCTTGGTATGTTGCAAAAGATGTGAAAGCGAAGACACAAAATAATACACGTACACCTAAGCTCATAGCAGCATGACTCACATCACTCAAAAGGTTTTTGAATTACCTGTGTTGTTTGAATTATCATCAATGAATAAATAGATAAAATGTGATTTATACATACAGTGGGATATTATTCAGTTATGAAAAATAAGGAAATTCTGACACATGGTACGTCATGCATGAACCTTAAGGACATTGTGCAAAGTGACATGAGCCAGTCATAAAAGGACAAATACTGTATCATTCCACTTATGAGATACTTAGAGTAGTTAAATTCTGGAAACCCACGTAGAAGAGTGGTTCCTAGGAGCTGGAGGGGGAGTAACAGGGAGCTGTTATTTAATGTGTATTGAATTTTGGTTTGGAAGTTGAAAAAAGATCCTTATGAATGGGAATAATAGTTGCAAAACAATGTGAGTGTAGTTAATTTCTCTGAGCTGAACACTTAAAATAGTTAAGATGGTTAATTTTATGTATACTTTGCCAAAATGTAAAAAATATTTTTTAAATAAACAAACTATAGCTATCTGCAATAGCATGAATTAATATCATAAATATAAAGTTGCCTAGAAGAAAGTAGATGTAAAAGTATACATATTATATAATTTCACTTATATAAAATCCAGAAAGTGAACACAACTGAGGTTCTGGTTTCCAGTAATAATGAAGTAGACTAGTTCGTTGAATAACTATTTCACAGATAACAATAATAAAGCTTAATAAAATACTATATTTTGCTATATAGAAAGGCACACTGTTTAGAAGACTGAATGAAGATTTTATCTATGCCACTGTGGAAGAGATAAGGATTGGGGTTTGAATCTATTCAAATTAACTCCCTCTTAAAATAATAATTTTCAAAGAAATACAACAGAATCCAGAGTCCCTGTAGTTCCTATCACACAATTTAAAAATTCATGAGATGTGTGAAGAAGCATGAAAGTGTAATCGATTCACAAGATAAAAAGCAGACAATAGAACCTATTCTCAAGATGTGCAAGATGCTGTAATCAGTAGATAAGATTTGAAAGAAGCTATGGTAAGTACGTTCATGGGGGTAAAAGAAAACAGTCTCATGACAAGTGAACAGAAGCGTAACTGTACATTTCATGCGCGTCCGTGTGAAGAGACCACCAAACAGGCTGTGTGTGAGCAACATGGCTGTTTATTTCACCTGGGTGCACGCGGGCTGCGTCCGAAAAGAGAGTCAGCGAAGGGAGATAAGGGTGGAGCCGTTTTATAGGATTTGGGTAGGTAAAGGAAAATTACAGTCAAAGGGGGTTTGTTCTCTGGCGGGCAGGAGTGGGGGTCGCAAGATGCTCAGTGGGGGTGCTTTTTGAGCCAGGATGAGCCAGGAAAAGGACTCTCACAAGATAATGTCATCAGTTAAGGCAAGGACCGGCCATTTACACTTCTTTTATGGTGGAATGTCATCAGTTAAGGTGGGGCAGGGCATATTCACTTATTTTGTGATTCTTCAGTTACTTCAGGCCATCTGGGCGTATACGTGCAAGTCACGGGGGATGCGATGGCTTGGCTTGGTCTCAGAGGCCTGACATACACTCCCAGTCTTTTGGTCACAGGGCTGTGGGACTGAGGAGGGAAATTAAAGAAAAATAAAATTAAAAAGAAAGAGAAATAAATTTTCTTGTATTGGGCTGACTTGTCCCAGAGGCTTCAACAGGCACAGCCCAGAACCAGGAATAGTCTTGATAATATTATCTAATGTGCTCTGGAGGCTCTCCCAACGCTCCCCCAACATCGGGAAAAGAAAAACAAATTTCCTTTTTTTACGGAATGAGTTTATAGATTCTTGTTCTCTGTAACTAGTGACTTCAAGTATTCTGTTTTATCTAAGAAGTACAATGTAAGTCATGAGAAGCCTGAGTAGGCTGAACTACAGCTGTTTGGGCACCATAGTGAGGGTTATAGGATAAGCCCATGCCCAGGGAAACCTAGAAAATGGACATGTGGGTTGCTTGGCAACGGTCATGTGCAATCCTGTCTGTCCTGCCTCTGTATCCCTGCTTTCACGCCACTGTAAACTTGCTTCAAGCTAGCCCACCACCTTTTGTGAAATGTGCATAAAAGTCAGGTTCTGTCTTTGTTCCGGGCCCAGTCTTTTTGATGTGAGTTAGCTTGTCCTCAGTTTCATGGGGGTCCGTGTGAAGAGACCACCAAACAGGCTTCGTGTAAGCAATAAAAGCTTTTAATCACCTGGGTGCAGGCAGGCTGAGTCCGAAAAGAGAGTCAGCAAACGTAGATAGGGATGGGGCCATTTTATAGGATTTGGGTAGGTAAAGGAAAAAGGGGGATTGTTCTCTGGCGGGCAGGAGTGGGGGGGTCACAAGGTACTCAGTCGGGGAGCTTTTGAGCCAGGATGAGCCAGGAGAAGGAATTTCACAAGACAATGTCATCAGTTAAGGCAGGAACAGGCCATTTTCACTTCTTTTGTGGTGGAATGTCATCAGTTAAAACAAGAACCGGCCATCTGGATGTGTACGTGCAGGTCACAGAAGGTACGATGGCTTAGCTTAGGCTCAGAGGCCTGACACTGAGTGCACTCAATAAAAATTCTCCTGTTTCAACCCGGGGTCTCTCTCATCCTCCTGAATCCCGCAACGGGAGAATTCCAGCATGCACCAGGTTCACGGGACAGTGCGCGGTCACTGAAAGAAGAGTGGGGCGGGGAGGGTGGTGTGCGGCTGTGAGCACCTCTTGTGCTTGCTGGGAGATGTAGTCTTATAAAGACTCCCAGCCCTTTGGTCACAGGGCTGCAGCACCCCAATTCCAGCATACACCGGAATCAGAGACAGTGCGCGCCGGCAGAGGAAGAGGTAGAGCTGTGCGTGACTCGCTGGGCTTGATGGAAAATGTAATCTCATGAACACTCCTTAATGAACAGTGCGCCTCACTGGAGGAAAAGGCGGGGCTGTGCAGGCCTTGCTTTGCTTGCTGAGAGATGCTGTCTCATAAACACTCCCAGCCCTTTGGTCACAGGGCTGCAGGACTACATTCCCATCATGCACCGGGATCAGGGATAGTGCATGTGCCTGGGTGAAGAGACACAGTTTTGCGCGCCTCCTTTGGCTTCCTGGGAGATGTAGTTTCATAAAGACACCCAGACTTTTCATTACAGGGCAGCAGGACTACAATCCCAGTATGCACCAAGATCAAGGATAGTGCGCGTAACTGCAGAATGAGGCGGGATTGTGCACGCCTCGCTGGACTTGGTGGGATATGTATTCTCATAAACATACCCAACCCTTTGGTCATAGGGCGGGAAGACTACAATCCCAGCATGCACCTGGCTAAGAGACAGTGCCTGTCACTGGAGGAAGAGGCGGAAGACTACAATCCCAGCCAGCACCGGGCTCAGGGAAATTGTGCGTCAGTGGAGGAAGAGGCGGGGTTGTGTGCTACTCGCCAGGCTTGCTGGGAGTTGTATTCTCATAAAACCTCCCAGCCCTTTCATCACAGGCCTGAAGGACTACACTTCCAGCCCCAGCATGCACTGGGCTCAGGGACAGCGCGCGTCACTGGAGGAAGAGGGAGGGCTTTGCGCTTCTAGCTGTGATTTTTTGGGAGATGTAGTCTCATTAACGCTCCCAGCCCTTTGGTCACAGAGATCCAGGACTGCAATCCCAACATGCACCCAGCTCAGGGATAGTGCGCTAATCACTGCAGGAAGAGGCAGGGCTGTGTGCACCTCCTGGGCGTACTGGGAGATGTATTCTCATAAACACTCCCATCCCTTTGGTCATAAGGCTGCAGGACTACAATCCTAGCATGCACCCAGCTCAGTGACAGTGCGCTAGTCTAAGGAGAAAGAGGCAGGGCAGTGTGCGCCTTGCTGGGCTTCCTGGGAGATGTAGTCCCATGGCCTCTCCCTGCCCTATGGTCACAGTGCTATAAGACTACAATCCCAGCATGCACGGGGCTCAGGGAGAGTCCACATCACTGCAGAAAGAGGGGCAGGTTGTGCGCACCTCGCTGCGTTTGCTGGGAGATGTTGTTTCATAAAGACTCTCAGACCTTTTGTCACAGGGCTACAGGACTACAATCCCAGGATGCATCGGGATCAAAGCAGTATGCGACACGGGGAAAAGATGCGGAGCTGTGTGCGTCTCCCTAGGTCTTCTGGGAGATGTGGTCTCTTGGCCCTTTGGTCACAGGGCTGCAGGACTACAATGCCAGCATGCAGCGGGTTCATGGACAGTGTGTATCACTGGAGGAAGACGTGGAGCTGTGCGTGCCTCGCTGGGCTTGCAGGGAGATGCAGTCTCATAACTACCCCAGTCGTTTGGTCGCAGGGCTGCAGCAGTACAATTTCAGCATATCTCTGGCTCAGGGAGAGTGCACTAGTCACTGGAGGAAGAGGTAGGTCTGTGCGCACCTCTCTGGGCTTGCTGGGAGAGGTAGTCTCATAAACACTACCAGCCCTTTCATCACATCGCTGTAGGACTACAATTCCAGCATGCACGGGGCGCCGGGGCAGTCCGCCTCACTGGAGGAAGAGAAAGGCGTGTGAGCGCCTTGCTGGGCTTTCTGGGAGATGTTGTCTCTTTATTTCTCCCAGCCCTTTGGTCACAGGGCTTCAGGACTACAATCCCAGCATGCATCCTGCTCAGGGACAACGCGCGTCACTGTAGGAAGAGGTGGACCTGTGCTGTTCTCGCTATGCTTTTTGGGATACGTATTCTCGTAAACACTCCCAGCCCTTTGGTCACTGGGCTGCATCACTACAATCCCAGCATACATCGGGATCAGGGAGAGTGCGCTAATCAGTGGAGAAAGGGGCGAGGCTCTGCACACCTCGCTGGTCTTGCTGGGAGATGCAGTCTCATAAACACTCCCAGCCCTTTGGTCACTGGGCTGCAGCGCTACAATCCTAGCATGGACCGGGCGCAGGGAATGTGCGCGTCACTGGAGGAAGAGGCAGGGTTGTGCACGCCTCTCTGGGCTTGGTGGGAGTTGCAGTCTCATAAACACTCCCAGACCTCTCATCACCGGGCTGCAGGACTACAATCCCAGCATGCACCCGGCTCAGGGAGAGTGCGCATTACTGGAGGAAAAGTCTAGGATGTGGATGCCTCCTTCTGCTTGCTGGGAGATGTAGTTTCATAAAGACTACCAGAACTTGTGTCACAGGGCTGCAGGACTACCATCCCATTATGCACTGGGGTCAGGGACACGGCCCGTCAGTGGAGAAAGAGGCGGGGCTGTGTGCGTCTCCCTCGGCTTGCTGGGAGATGTATTCTTATAAACACTCCCAGCCCTTTGGTCAAAGGGCTACAGGACTACAATCCCAGCATGTGCCAGTCTCGGGGGCGAGGTACAGGCCTGGAAGAAGGGGCCGAGTGGTACACGCCCTACCTAATATGCTGGGAGCTGTAGTCTGTTAACTGCTCTCAGCCTGTTTGTCGGTAGGCTTCAGAACTATAATCACAGCATGTACCGGGACCCGGGGTGCATAGCCCTGGAGGGAGGGGCAGAGCGGTGTGGACTTCCCGGTGTCCAAAGCACTGCTGAGTTCTTATGCTATGCCGACTCTTTGCCAAGGAGAATGAGTACATAGGTGGACCTAGAGGACAGGTCTGCGCTGAGCATTGAGGAGGGTATTACCCTACATAGGCACCTTACCTTTGCCCAAATCGGGCGGGTTGTCCTCAACTGATTGGCCCTATCCTTCTCAAGTTCCTCTTTCAGCTGCACCCAGGGTTCTTCCCAGAGCATTGCGCCTTCTGCAGCCCAGGGCGCTGCCTTCTTTCCTAAACTGCTGTGGAAACTGTCCTGATGTCTGAGACACTGTCCATTGTGCCGCAGCCCTCTTTTTTCTCTAGCCAAGCCTCATGCTCAACAGCTTTTGAGAGAAATCTTCCACGTGGCCTGCTTATGAACAGCTTCAGAATTCTGTAGGGGGTGACAAGGTCTGTGGCTTCCTGGAAATGTCACTGTCAATGGCGCCTTTTTCACGAATGTGAAAGTTGAGGCATCAGGAAGGTTAATTATTGGGTTGCACAAAATCTGCTAAGAGCAAAGGAGAAAACCCCATTTCCGAGGCATGAGTCTTGTGAGCCATTTTCATCAACCCATTTAAGTGGACAAGCTCCAAAATGAAACCTGAAGCTGCTGACTATTTAGGCATTTTACACTTGAAATCATCGGTCTCATCTCAAGTCACTCCTGACTTGCCAGTGTCTCAGAAACACAAATGGGACCGGATCCCTCAGGAGCAGATAGTGTTCCAGCTTTGTTGGAGCGACATTTAAGATGTGGAGCACTTGGGGTCGTTTGAAACCCGCTATCTTCAGTAGGGACTTTTACTTCTAGAGAACATGTGCATTTTGATTTTATCTGTCCTCAAACTGAACTTTTGCTCATTTTAATAGTAAAAACACATTCCTAGGTGGAGACTTAAGATGCTAATGAGACATGCAATGTATGCACAAATATGTACAGTTAGTGCACATGTGCACCCAGAAGACCACTCAAAACATGCTTACACTAACACTTCTTTCCACCTTCTTATGAATAATCGTGCAAAACCCCCAGAAGGAGGGTTTCTCCAGTAACAATTAATGGTGTCTCACTCTTATGAGCAGCCTGCCCTGGAATCTCTTTCTCAGAATGTACCGTCTATTCTGCACTTAATTTTCAAAGTAGTCTTTTCTTTTTTTGTGTGCAATAAATTACTCTATGCTGTACTTCTTTTGCTGTGTGTTTCTTGTTTGAATTCTTTTAAACTAAGAAAATAAGAATCAAGGTATTACATCAGCCATCAACATTTCTTTTGCCATGGCCTGGAGAGAGGTCTGTCCGCTTCACTGATTTCACTTTCCCTTTACTTGCCGTGAATACTGTGGCACTTCCAGACTACCTGGTTAACTATCGCTGGTTCTTCCAGCACTGTTTCACTAAAGTTCTGGGGAAACCCTGTCCCTTTAGGCTTTATGCATTTCCCAGCTCCTTGAAATTGTTCTTCAACAGGCTTTCTTTGCTGAACAAAAGATGCACAGTCATGGATAGGCCCAGTCATAGGGATTGAATCTGAGCATTGCAGGTGTTATAATTGGGCATCATAAATGGCAAACCACTGAATTAGGGAAAGGCTTGTCAGCCAGACATCTGCCCCCCAGCGAGCAGTGGGGGTCATCTCGGCAGGGCTGGAGATGTCCAGCGCTGGTGAGAGCTAGGACGGTGCATGGCAAATGCCTATGACCTCCTAGAGCTTCAGTTAATGGGGTTTCAAGGGGATGAGTTGGACAACTTGGTGGTTCCACTTGGCTCATGGGGCTGCCCACAGCCTCCTGGACTTTAGTACATGTTCTGTCGTTTGCAGGATTCTCTCGGCACCATGGGAATCACTTCCTCTACTGTCACTGAAACACACCTGGGATGTATATTTAAAAATTGAAACAGCTTTTGGCTAAATGAAGCAAAAAAACAATTATCTTCTTTTGTAAAACTATTTAGCCTGCATACAGATTAGCTGACAAAACATGGCTGGAGAATGAGACTGTGAAATTTAACACCATCATACAGCTAGATCTTTTCTGTAGTAATCAGGGAAAATGGTCTGAAGTATCCTATGTGCAAGACTTTCTGGCCCGACAACAAAACCCAGCTCCATGCAGCACCTGTGGGCTAAAGCCTAGTAAGCCACAAAGCCCCTCAGATCCAGTAGAAGATCATTTGTTTTATGGACAAGTGACCCCAGACCCCACAGCCTAATACCAGCTCCAGATAGGGGCCCTCAGAGGCCTACACCTGCTTTAGAATCCCCAGCGTCCCCACACTATCAGAGTCTTCTGTAGAATCTAAGCTTGTTTCACCTCCTCCTTATGCTCCTCTATCAGCCTTTGCCAGTTACAATAGAGACCAGTCCAGCTGCAGTTACTCACAGTGGAGCTTCACACCATGCAGGGCCAGAGAATTTGATCCGCTTACAGAAAGTCTCAAATGGAGAGAGGACCATCAGAGTGCTTCTTCTCTTCCCAGTAAATGATCTAATCCAATGTAAGCAACAGCTCTGATGGCTCTCAGACAACTTCAGCGCGTTTACTGAAGCCTTCCAGTCTCTAACTTTGACCACCATTCAACTTTACCATCCATAAATGGACCCAATGACTGCTGCCAACTCAGCTGCACAAAACTTTTTCTTATTTGCGAAAAATAGAAAAGACTTAAAACTTTTGCTGCTTTCACCATTTTAAAGCAGAATACTTTTGCAGCACAAATGTCACCATAAGGTGGAGCCTTGGGAATCCAGTATAAACTATCTCAGAAAATCTCAGTGTGTCCCCAACAGGCAGCAGAGGGCCTCAATAGACTTCAACAACATCTGGACTCCATGGCCACTGCATTCCAACAAAATCAAAGAGCCTGGGATCTTCTCCCAGCCAAGCAAAGAGGAACATGTTTATATCTAAAAGAAGAATGCTGTTTTTTGAGATCAATCATTCTGGTTTATTCCAAGAAAATATTAATAATATCATCACCCAGGCAGACAAAATTGAATCTCTAGGAACTTCCATGGGAACATGAAAGCAATGTCCATTGCCTGCCTTGCTCTCTTTAATAGTACCCGTCATTATTATATTTTCAACTTCTACTTTTGTTCCAATTTTGTTTAAAATGTTAACTGATTTCCTGCTATGTTGCTTGTGGCAGCTCCATGTTTGCATGATGGTTTGCAAGGCTTTCAATCTTTGGCTGCCAACATCTTCCCACTGGTTCCACGAATGACATGGTTTACACCCTGTTAGATCACACAGGAAGAAACTTTAAGGCCCAGGCTAGGCAGAAGTAACACCCACTCAGCAGGAAACAGCTCCAGAAAAAGTGGTCTAACCCCTCAACCTCCAATATGGTTATTGCCCTAAAATCTCTTAGGGGGAAATTGAGGCAGAATAGATAGTACAGAAAATGACCATGATCTCAGGATACAGAAACCATGGTGACTGTACAGCCAACACAATAAGCCGTAGCATTCGCATTGTAATTGGGCTTATTCGAGCAAAGCTATCCTCATTAAGGACTTTCTGTTCTAGAGAGCATGTGTATTTTGATTTCACCTGCCCTCAAACTTAAATTTTGCTTATTTTAATAGCAAACAATGCACCCCCTAGCCAGGCACGGTGGCTTATACCTCTACTCTCAGCACTTTGGGAGGCTGAGGAAGATGGATCACTTCAAACTAGAAGCTCGAGACTAAACTGGCCAACATAGAGAAACCCCGTCTAAATTAAAAATACAAAAATTAGCAGGGTATGATGGTGCATGCCTGTAATCCCAGATACTCAGGAGGCAGAGGCACGAGCATGGCTTGAACTCAGGAGGCAGAGGTTGCAGTGAGCAGAGATCACACCACTGCACCCCAGCTTGGGCAACACGGCGAGACTCTGTCTCAAACAAACAAACAAACAAACACACAGAAATACACTCCTGGGTGGAAATATAAGATGCTAACGAGACATGCAACATATGAACAAGCATGTACAGCTACTGCGCATATGCACCCAGAATACCACAGAGAACATGTTTACTAGCAACTCCTCTTCCCTCCTCCTTATTAATAATAATGTAAAACTGCCATAAAGGGGTTTCTCCAGCGACAGTCCACGCTGTCTCACTCTTATGAGCAGTCAGCCCTGGAGTATCTCTCTCAGGGTGTACTGTATTCTGCACTTAACTTTCAAATATTTTCTTTTCCAATAAATTATGCTGTACTTTTTTTCTTTGTGTCTCTTGTTTAAATTCTTAAAATCTAGGAAGACAAGAACAGAGGTATCACATCAGTTGTCAACACAGCAATAAGTCAGCCTCCTTCTTGTAAGCATAGCCCATGCAGAAAAGGAGAGTCGCATCACCTCGGTGCTGGATCCAGAGGTATGTCACAATTTATCCCATGCACAAAGTTAAGGTCATTGAGGAGAGTCGTATTAAATAATTTCTGGGCCCAGGGATTTGTCACAACAGCTCCTGTGAGAAGAGATCAGGCAGCATAATCACATAACCGGTGTGCTGGACACAGCGATAAGCCACCTTTCATCTGTGGGCATGACCCAGGCAAGAAAGAAGAGTCACGGCATTTAGGTGCTTGCTGCAGAGGTACGTAACAATCTCTCTTATGGGCAAAGCTCAGGTAAGAGAGAAGAGTCAAATATCCAAGGTGATTCATGTAGAAATTTGTCACAAGAGACTTTTTAGGCAGGGCCCATGTTGGATCTTCTTATCTTCCAGAAGTTAGGTACAGGGATATGTCAGAATACCCAAAATACACAGGGCTCAGTCAATAAAGAAGAGCCACATCACCCAGGTGCTGGGTCTAGACATATGTCACATCTCTTTTATGGGGAAAGCTCAGGTAAAAAAGGAAGGTCATATCAAATAGTTGATAGACCCAGAGATATGTCACATTGCCTCCTGCTTGAAGTGTCTAGGCCAAAGACTCACATCACATTGGTGCTAGGCCTGTGTTCATATATAAACATTCAACCAGAGTTAAAATGGTGGCCCACATCTAAACTCAGCTCATAGGCAAGGGATGAGTCTCCTATCCTGACATAGTTAATTGTAATGATGTTGACTCTCATCCCTGGGCCTAATGCTACAAGTATGATCATGGGTCCCTACCATTAGGAAGGTCTCAAAGTTGATTACGACTCTCATGCATACTGTATAGGGCCATTGGGTAGTACACAGAGCGTGCTAACTGGGCCGAGCACACAGGTGAGATTGTCACACTCATATGCACACCCAGCCAACAGTAACTATTGTCATCCTCTCACGGGAACACAGGTCAGTCTGCAGAGGAATTGAGGCTGTCATGCGCAAATCCAGTCTGGTGTTGAGATGGTTACTCTTGGGCTTAGACCCAACATACAGGAGGTGTTGAATGTCATGCCTACCACTGAGACAGCTGTGGGATTGTTAATCTAATTCCTGGACCATTCTGCAGCTTCCATTGTGAAATTTCCCAGTGCCTAGCACCTAAGTGACTTGACGGGCTCGCATGGACCCAGCCCACAGATGGGATATTAACATATTGCTGGATCCAGCACATTGAGGATGTAACTCTATTCTCCTTCCTTGGCACTGCCCACAGTGAGCAGTTTGACATATCGCTAGACCTTACACCCAGGTGATGTGAGTCTCCTCTTCTGCCTTGGCGCTGCCCTCAGGAAGCGTTGTTATATATAGCTTGGCCTCGCATCCAGGTTATGTGACTCTCCGGCTTGTGCACTGCCCATATGGGACACTGTGTTAATATTGCTGGGTCCACTACTCAGGCTATGTAACCCAACAGCCTGGGCCCTGCCTTACAGGGGCATTGTGACATATCTCTGTGCTCATCAGCCAGGTGATGTGATTCTCTTCTCCTGCCTGGTCCCTTTACACAGAAGGGATTGTGACACGTTGCTGGGCTTAGCACCAAGTTGATGTTGATGTGAATCTTCTGCCTGGATCGAGTTCACAGAAGGCATCGTGACATACTTCTGGGTGCATCACCTATTTGATGCAACTCTCCTCTCTTACCAGAGCATTGCCCATAAGAGAGATTGTGACATATCCCTGGGTCTAGCACTGGGATGATGTGAATTCTCCCTGCCTGGGGCATGCCCACAGAAGGAAGTGTGACTTATAACTGGGCACAGCACAGGGGTGATGTGATTCTTCTGCCTGGTCCCTACCTACAGGAGTCATTGTCAAATGTCTCTGGGCCCATCATCTAGACTATGTGACTCTCTACTTCTTCCTAGGGCCTGCTCACATAAGGATTGTGACATATTACATGCCCTTCATCATGTGACTTTTCTCTCATGTCTGGGCTCTGTCTTGGAGATGAATGTGACACATAGCTAGGCCTAGCCCCTAGGTTCTGTAACTTCTCGTTTTTCAAAATCCTACCCACCAGGGGCATTGAAACATCTCTCTGGGCACTTCACTTAGGTAATGTTGCCCTGTTGCCTGGAGCCTCCCCTCTGGGGGGTATGGTGACATATTGCTGGACACAGTACCTATGTGATATTCTCTCCTTTCTTGCCTGGGCCTTGTATACATTATGTATTCTAATATATGGCTGGGTTCAATGACTAGGTGATGCAACTCTTATGCATAGACCCTACCCACAGGGACATTATGACATTTCTTTAGCTCTGACTCTCCTCTTTTTCCTTAGCCCTGCCAAAAAGGGAGGTGGTGACATATAACTGGACCTAGCAACCAGCTAATATGAGTCTCCTCTTTTGCCTGCACCCAGCATATTTTAGGTGTTGTATCATATCCTTTGTCTCAACACCTGCAGGATGAAAGGCTCCTGCCTGAGCCCAGCCATCTGTCAAAATTGTCATTCTCCCACACGAACATGGACCATAATTGAGGTTCTGAAACTCACACCCAGAGGCAGTCAAAAGTTGGAAAATTGGCTCTTAAAAGTGGATGTTGTCCTTAAGTGGGTTTGTGACTCCCTGACCAAGATCCAAAACACTTGTGAGGCTGTGAATCCACTAAGATAACTCCGTTTTCAAAAGGGATTAAGGCTCTCATGGAAAAAACCCATTCCTCCATTGAGATTGTGACTTATGCACATAGATGCAACATACAGGAGGCGTTCACTCTCATACCCAGAACCGGAACTTATGTGGGATTGTTAATCTCATCCATGGACCTTCCTGCAGGTGTGATTCTGACGTACACCTCTAGCCAGCTCCTGAGTGATTTGACATTTTTGCCTGGGTGTAGCCCACAGATGAGATTGTGATATATCCTTGAATCCAGCATCTAATTAATATGCTTCTATTCTCCTGTCTTGGCACTGCCCATAATGGGTATCCTGACCTAACACTGGTCCTGGCACTTTGTTATGTGACTCTGTCCTGTGCTTTGCCCACATGAGCCATTGTGACATATTGCTGGGTCCAACACCCAGGTGATGTAACTCTTGTCTAGACTTTGCCTACAGGGGGCATTGTGACATATCTCTACACTGACCACCCAGGTGATGGCACTCACTTCTCCTGACTGCTACCTGTTTATAGCAGGGATTGTTACAAATCGTTGCGGGCAGACTCTAGGTAATGTGACTGTCTTTTTACAGAGTGCTACCCACAGGAGCCATTGCAAAATATCTGTGGGCCTCTCACCTAAATGTAGTGACTCTTTGCCTGGGCTCATTTCTCAGGGGTATTGTGACATATGGCTGACCTCAGCACCGAGGTGAACTGAGTTTCTTCTACTGTAGGGCTCTGACCAAAGAGAGATTACAATGTATCACCGGGCCCAGCACCTGAGCTATTTGACTGTCCGCTCTTGGCTGCGCCCTACATTTATTGTGTATTGTGACATATCACTGGGTCCAACACGTAGGTAAGGTGACTCACCTGCATGGGCCATTTCCCCATGGGTACTATGAAGTATTTTTTGTTCATCACTTAGGTGATGCAACTCTCCTCTTTGCCTTGGGCCCCACATAATTTAGCTATTGTGATGTATCACTGTGCGAATCACCTAGTCAATAGGAAGCTTCTACCAAGACCCTGACTACTGAGGGCCTTGTGACATAGCTCTGCATTTATCACCTAGAAAATATGATCCCCCCCCATTTCTGCCTGAACCCTGCTCACAAGAAAAATTGTAGCATATTTCTGGGCCCAGCAAACAGGTGATGTGTTTCACCTGCCTGTGCTTAGTTCACAGGGAAAATTGTGACATATCACTGGGCCCAGAACCCAGGTGAGGTGACTCTGCTGCATGTGTCGTGCTTTCAGGAGGGAACAAGAACATATCCCTGGCAGAACTCTTAGGGATGTGACTCTCTTGCCTTGTCCCTGTCCTCAGGGAAGACTGCAACATGTCCCTGACACAGACCCAGGTGATGAGACTGTCCTGCTTCTGACTACCCAAATGTGAGATTGTCACATATATTTTGGCTTAGCATGTAGGTGTGACGATGACATTCATACCTTAAACCAACCAATAGCAGAGATACTTTCTCTCACAGCCAGGCTTAACAAAACTTGCAAAATTATGGGTCTTCTCTTACTATGAAGGTCAGAGAAAGTAAGCACTCTTGCATATCCTGTAAAGCACTCAGATGGTACAGTGTCATCACAGGGCCCAGAACACAGGTGAGATTGTGTTCTCTGTGTGCACACCCACCAATCATCAGAATTCTCATTCCTACACAGGAACAGAGGTGATTAGGGAGGTCTAAACCTCATACCTGAATGCCGTCCACAGTTGGAATTGTAACTATCATTTGTGAACATCCAGTCACAGTGGGGATAGTGACTTATTTCTGAACCCAGTTTACAGCCAAGTAAAGATCCTCTTATCTGGATCCAGCCAGCTGGAGAGATGTTGACTCTCATACCTGGACTTATGGCCACAGGTATGATCATAGGTTCATATCAGCATGAAGACCTCAGAGTGGATTATGTTTAATGCATACTCTACAAGGCCCACAGGAGGTACATAGTGTCCTAACAGGGCCCAGCAAACAGGTGAGATTCTAACACTCATGCACACTCTGGTGACAATAAAAGTTGCCATCCTCAAAAATGGGCACAACCGGCGTGGCTCAGTGGCTCACACCTGTAATCGCAGCACTTTGGGAAGCCGAGGCGGACAGATCATGAGATCAGGAGATCAAGACCATCCTGGCCAACATGGTGAAACCACGTCTCTCTACTATTTATGATTATGATTATGATTATGATTATGATTATGATTATGATTATTATTTTGAGACAGAGTCTTGCTCTGTCACCCAGACTGGAGTGCAGTGGCACCATCTAGGCTTACTGCAACATCCGCCTCCCGGGTTCAAACAATTCTCTTGTTTCAGCTTCCCGAGTAGCAGGGAGTACAGGCTCATGCCACCATTCCCAGCTAATTTTTGTGTTTTTAGTGGAGACGGGGTTTCACCATATTGATTAGGCTGGTCTCAAACTCCTGACCTCAGGTGATCCACCCAACTCGACCTCCCAAAGTGCTGGGATTACAGGCATGGGACACTGTGCCTGTCCACCCCATCTCTACTAAAAATACAAAAATTAGCTGAGCGTCATGGCACATACCTGCAATCCCAGCTACTCGGGAAGCTGAGGCAAGAGAGTTGCTTGAACCCAGGAGGCAGAGGTTTCAGAGAGCCGAGATCGCCCCACTGCACTCCAGCCTGGCGATAGAGTGAGACTCCGTCTCAAGGGACCGAAAGAAGAAAGAAAGAAAGAAAGAAAGAAAGAAAGAAAGAAAGAAAGAAAGAAAGAAAGAAAGAAAGAGAGAGAGAGAGAAAGAAAGAAAGAAAGGAAGGAAGGAAGGAAGGAAGGAAGGAAGGAAGGAAAAGAAAGAAAGAAAGAAAGAGAAAGAAAGAAAGGAAAAGAAAGAATGAAAGAAGAAAGAAAGAGAAAGAAGGAAGGAAGGAAGAAAGAAAGAAAAAGAAAGAAAGAAAGAAGAAAGAAAGAAAAAAGAAAGAAAGAAAGAAAGAAAGAAAGAAAGAAAGAAAGAAAGAAAGAAAGAAAGAAAGAGAAAATTGACTCTCATATATGGATCTTGTCCACAGGTAGGTGGGTGACTCTCAAACCAAAATTCATTACATCTGTGAGACTGTAACTCTCCTAAGGGGAGAAGTTCTTCTCAGCCAGAGAAGACTCATTTATGAATCCAGTTCACTGTTGAGATTGGGACTGTTGTACCTAGGCCAAACATACAAATTCTCATACCTGGAATCCGGACATGTGTGGAGTTGTTCATCTCATCCCTGTCGCTTTCTGCAGGTGGGATTGTGACATACATCTCTGCCCAGCTCCTGAGTGTTTTAGCTCTGTTTCCTGTGTCCAGCTCACAGATGGGATTCTGATATATCACTGAAGCCAGCACCTAAATGATGTGACTCTTATCTCCTGCCTTGGTGCTGCCCACAGGGGACATTGGGACATATCACTTGGCCTTGCACCTAGGTAATGTATGTTTTCTGCCTTGCATTAGTGCTACTCACAGGGGTGTTGTGATGTATTGCTGGGTCCCACATCCATGTTATGTGACTCTTCTGCCTGTGCCCAGTCCACAATGGCCATTTTGACATATTGTTGCATCCAAAACCTAGATGATTTACCTCTCCTTCCTGAGCTTTGCCTAAGGGGACATTGTGAAATATCTATGAGCCCATCACCCATGTGGCGTGATTTTCTTCTCCTGCCTAGTCCCTGCTTAAAGAAAGGATTGTGACATATCACTGTGCCCAGCACCTATCTCATGTTACTCTTCTTTTGTTTTTTAGGATTTGTTTGGAAGGAGATTGTGATACATTGGTGGGTCCAACTTCTCAGTGACATTACTCTGTTGACTGTGCTCTGCAAGCAGAAAGCACTGTGACACATTATTGGGCCCAACACCAAGGTGAGTCTCCTGCCTGAAGCCTGCCTACAGCAATTTGTAACATATGGCATTGGGACATATCTCTGAGCCCATCAACTATTTGACAAGATTCTCCTTTTTTAACAAAGGCTTTGCCCATAGGAGAGATTGTGACATAATTCTGAGCCCTGAAAATAGGGGATATTTCTTTTGTTTTCTGCTTGAGCCCCACATTGTGATGTATTTCTCCTCCCAACAACTGAGGGAAGGGAAAGTCCTGCCTGGGTCTTGCCTATGGGGAGCCTTGTGAAATCTTTCCGTGTTCATCACCTTAAATATGTGACCCTCATCTTCTGCCATGGCCATGTTTACAGAAGGGAGAGTGGGTTATTCCTAGACCCAGCACACAGGTCATGTGATTCTGCATCCTGGTGTCTCCAGAGGGGTCATTTTGACATATCTCTAGACTCATCAACTAGATAATGTAATGCTCCTCTTCCCCCTGAAACCTATCCATAGTGGAGATTGTGAAATACAGCCTGGCACAGCACCTACATGATGGTACTCTCTTCTCATGCTTGGGTGCTGGCCACAGGGGTGATTAAGACTTATAGCTGGGTACAGTCTTCAGGTGATGTAACTCTCCTCTATTTTTGGGCCCACACACACAGGGAACTACCATATAGCTCTGCTCCTCAGTCTTAGGTGATGTGACTCTGCTGTCTGTTACCTCCTCTTAGGGGGAATTGTGATATATTGCTGGGCCCAGAACCGAGGTGATGTGGCCTTTTCTCTTGCCTGGGCCCTGCATACATGGTGTACAGTAACATATATCTGGGTTGAACACATAGGTGATGTGACTCTTCTGCATAGGTCTTGCCAACAGGGGTATTATGACATACTCTTCTATTCATTGCCTAGGCGATGTGACTCTCCACTCTTACCTGGGCCCTTCCAAAAGAGGGGATTGTGACATATCACTGACCCTAACACCAAGGTAATGTGACTGTTCTCTTTTGCCTGGGTTTGCATATTTTGGGTATTGTGACATATCCCTGGGCCCAACACTTAGGGAATAAGAGGTTTATTCCTCTACCTTACGTGCAGTGAAGCTTGTGACATATTTCTGCATTCATCACCAAGAAGATGTGACTCTTCTGCCTGCATCCTGACCACAGAGAGGATTGTGAAATATTGCTAGATCCAGCATGCAGGTGATGTGTCTCTGCTGCCTCGTTCCTAATGTGAGGAGTGGATTGCAACATACCAATGCCTGAACATTCAGGTAATGTGACTGTTGACTGGTCCCTGTCCTCAGGGAAGCGACATATCACTGACCCAGCATCCAACTGATTTTACTCTCCTGCTCTCTTCCTATATGCAGGTGTAATTGTTACATATATCTTGGAACACAACACACAGGTGCAATGATGACATTCATATGTCAAACCAGCCAATAGAAGAGATACTGCTTCTCCTAGCTACACTTAGGGAAATGAAAAAAAACCCTGGGTCTCCTCGCTAAGATCATCCACTCTCTCATATATTACAGAAAGTCCTCAGGTGGTAGAGAGTCTTATCACAGGGCCCAGCACACAGGTGAAATTTGTTACTCCTATGCGCACCCTGAACCCTCCTGACCATTATGATTTTCACCCTCACATATAAACAGAACCCACTGGTGAGGTCCTGAATTTCACACATGAATGCAGTTTATAGTTGGAATTGCGAATCTCATATGTAAAGATCTGGCCAGAGTTGGAATGGGAACTTCGTTATAAACCCAGCGCATAGAAAGCTGATGACTCTCTTATCTGGACCCCGCCAATTGTAAAGATGTTGACTCATATATAGGCTTAGGGCCACAGGTTTGATCATGGGTCCATACCAGCATGAAAATCTCTGAAAGAATTGAGACTGTCATGCATACAACATAAAGCCGTCAGGTGCAACACAGAAAGTCCTAATAGGGCTCAGCACACAGTAATATAATGACATTGGGATGCACACCCAGCCAACATTAAAGATTGTCGTTCTTTCACATGATCATAGTTCACTTTTGAGGCTCTGAATCCCATACCCAAAGGCAGATTGAAAAGTTGAAAAATTGACTCTCATATTTGAGAGTCACAGATGTGTTGATGACTCTCAGATCATGAGTCAGCACACCTAGGAAGCTGTGATTTCAATTAGGGGACAAAGTACGCAAGAGAAAATGGGGCTGCCATGCACAAATTTAGTCCACTATTGAGATAGTGACTTGTGTACTTAGATCAAACATACAGAAGGTGTTCACTCTCATGCATAAAACCAGAATATGTGCGGGATTCATCCCATATCTGGACTTTCCTGCAGGTGTCATTGTGACAAGCATACACATTTGTCCAGCACCTGAGTGATTAGACTCTTCTGTTTAAGCCCAGCTCACAAATAAAATTGGGACATATCATTGGACCTAGAACATAGGTGATGTGGCTCTATTCTCTTGACTTCGTGCTGCCCACAGGGAGCATTGTAACGTATCACTGAACTTAACACCTAGGAGATTAGAGGCTCCTGCCTGAACTCTGTCCACAGTGAGCCTTGTAGCATATTTCTGCTTCCAACACCAGATGATGTGACTCTCCTTTCTGCCTGCACCTTGCCCACAGGAAAGATTCTGACATATCACTGGGCCCAGTAATCAGTAATCAGGTGATGTTTCTCTCCTGCTATGGCCTTGCCCACAGGGAGTGTGGTGACATATCACTGAGCTCAATATTCAGGTGATTTGACTCTGCTGCTTGTACTCTGATTTCAGGAGGGGATTGTAACATATCCCCTGTGAGCACACAAGTGATGGGACTCCCCTCCTAGCCTCTGACCTCAGAAAACATTGTTACATATCCCTGGCCCAGCCTTAGGTATGTGACTCTCCTACCTGTTCCCTGCCATCAGGGAAGATATTGACAGATCTCAGGCCAAGCATCCCGGTGACGTGACTCTCCTGCTCACTCCCTTCCCACAGAAGAGATTGAAACATATATCTTGGCCAGCTCACAGGTGTAATAATGACTCTCATACCTCAAACCTGCCACTAAGAGAAATACTGTTTTTCATAGGGAGGCTTTGGAAAACCGGTAGGTCTTAACTCTTCGTTTTGTATGAAGGTCTTAGAGGAATACAACTCTCTCATATTATATAAAGCTCTTAAATGGTACAAAGAGTGTTATCACAGGGATATGTTGCATAACCTATGGGAGGGGCCCAGTTATATGTCACAATTAACCCAGGGGGCAGGGCACAGGCATGAAAAGAGAGTCACACCACATATGTGCTGGCCTAAGTGATACATCATCATCCCCACTGTGGACAGGTCGCAGTAAGAACAGGAGAGTCACATCATTCTAATAATGGTCTCAGAGATACATCACAATGACTCCCCTGGGCAGAAACAAGGGATAAGGTTCACATCACCTGTGGGCTAGGCCCAGAGATGTCACTCTTACTTCTGTGGGCATGTCTCAGGCTGGAGAGGAGAATCACATTACCTAAGCACTGGACCAAGAAATACTTCACAATCTTTCTCATGGCGAAAGCCCAGGTAAGAGAATAGAGCCATATCAAATAGTTCATGGGCTCAGAGATATGTCACAATGCTCCCTGTGGGCAGGGTTCAGGTAGGACAATCACATTACCTTGGTGCTTGTTCAGCAATATATCCCAAAGCCTTCTGAGGGCAGAGCCAAGATAAAAGAGTAAAATCATTTTGGTGTTTTACAAATCGATATGTCACAATCTCCCCCGAGGGCAGAACCTGAAAAAAGGGAAGAGTCACATTAGCTAAATGCTGCGCCGGGTGATAAGTCACAATTCACCCTGTAGGCAGAGACTAGACAGAAGATAGAGTCACATCATCTAGTGGCTGGTGCAGAGATATGCCACCATGCCCTCTCTAGGCAGAGTTCAGACAGGAGAGTTATGTCACCTGTGTTTTGGACCCAGAAATATGTCACAAAAGCCCATGGACAGAGCACAGGAAAGACAGGCACATAACCTGAATATCAGCTTCAGTGGTATGACCCAATGCCTCCTGTGAGCGTTCCAAGGCAGGAGAGGAGACTCACATTACCTGTGTGCAAGGCCCAGTGATACGTCACACGGAGGAGTACCACTGTCTTGCATATTGTGTAAACTATGGTAGAGAAATTGTCACCACAGGGCTCGCCACACTGGTGAGATTATACTTCTCAGATGCACACCACACCAATATTCAGGATGGTCTCTATCACACGTGGAGAGAGCCCACTCTTGAGGTCCTGAATTACACATGCAGACACAGTCCACAACTGGGATTGTGACTTTCATATGTGAACATCCAGCCACAGGTGGGATGGTGACTCATTTTTAAACGCAGCTCATAGGCAGTTAAGAACTCTTATTTGGACCCATCCAAGTAGAAAGATGTTGACTGTCATACCAGGGCTTAAAGCTAAAGGTACAAGGAGGGGTCCGTGCCTGCTTAAGGTTTCAGAGAGAATTGTTACACTCATGCATACTCTATAAAGGCTGCATATGGTGAAGAGAGTGTCCTGACAGGGCCCAGAACAAAAGTAGATTGTGACACTCATATCTACGCTGAGCCAAGAGTAAAAATTGTCATCTTTTCACATGAACACAGCCCATTGTTGAGGTTCCAAATCTCACACCTGGAGGCGGTTGAGAGATGAATAATTGACTCTCATAAGTGGATGCGATCCATGTTTGAGTCAGTGACTCTAAAACCAACATTCAGCAAACACGTGAGGCTGTGACTCCATTAAGGGGCCACGGTCCTCGGGAAAGACTGAAGCTGCCATGCACAGATCCAGTGCACCATTGAGACTGTGACTTCTACACTTAGACCCAACAAACACAATGTGTTTGCTCTCACACCTAGATATGGGACATGTGCAGGATTGTCAGTCTCAGCCCTGGACTTTCCTGGAGGTATAACTGTGAAATATATCTCGGCCCAGCTCGTGAGTGACTTGACTCTTCTGCGTAGCCCAGCCCATGATAAAATTGTGACATTATTGAACCCAGCACCTATGACCCCCCTCTTCTGCCTGGGTCCTGTCAAAAAGAGAGATTGTAACAAATCACTGGGACAAGCACCCACATGATGTGACTCTCCTCTTTTCCCTGGGCCCTGCATATTTTGTATATTGTGACATACTGCTGGGCATAATACCTAGGGAATTGATGGCTACTGCCTGAGCCCTGTTCACAGGGGGCCTTGGGACATCTCTCTGCATTCACCACCTAAAAAAAGTGTGTGCACCCTGCCTACAAAGAAGATTGTAGCAGATCACTTGTCTTAGCAACCAAGTGATGCGAGTCTCCTGTCCTGCCTTGGTGCTGCTCACAGGGGACATTATAACATATACTTGGTGCTGCACCCATGTTTTGTAATTTTTCTGCCAGGGGTCTACCATATAAGCTATATTGCTGGGTCCAACACCCAGGTTATGCAGCTCTCCTTTCTGTGCTCTGCCTACAGGGGACATTGTGACTTATCTCTGCACCCATCACTCAGGTGATGTGACTTGCTTCTGCTGACTGATTCCTGTTCAAGTGGAGATTGTGACATATCAATGGTGGCACCATCTAGCTGATGTAACTATTCTCTTCTGCCTAGGTTCTTCCTGCAGTGGAAATTGTGATGTATCACTGGGCTTAACACCAAAGTGACATTAATTTTTTGCCTTGGTTCTTCCCTCAGAAGACATTGTAATATATTGCTGGGCTCAGCACCAAAACGATGTGGATTTCCTGTCTGGACCCTGCATACAGGAGTCCCTGTGACATATCTCTTGACTCATCAACTATTTGATGTGACTCTCCTCTGTTCCCTGAGCTTTGCCTATAGGAAAGCGTCAGCCTGGACTCCAGAGTCAGCCACCCACCCCTGCACAGACAAGGAGAGGTCTCATTAAGCTTCAGCACAGTCTGGGACCATAGCTTTTTTTGTAACGATTTGTTCGGCATGAGGCCCACTCACAAGGGCCCTTCGTGACTGGACTCAAGGAAAACGAAAAGGCCTACTTGTTTTTGCGATTTTCTGTTGTTTTTCAATAACTATTTCTCAGAAACAGTGCTGGATGAATTCCACAAGGGGTTCACACAACCTGTTCCAGGACTTAGTGACCATTGTTTCTGTCCATGTTCATTGAGTTCAAATTTAATATTTAACTTTTCCTCCTCATTCAGCCTCAATTTGACACTGAATCATAGGAAAATATTTTTACAGTTATACGGGGAAGTCACAACTGGTATAGATTACAGATAGAGCAGAGGAGAATTAAAAGCACAATTAATAGAAACCACACCCACCACGGCCAACGCCAATGCTAGTTTGACAGCCAGTCCATGATGGGGTCCTGATGGTTAGATTCTAACTGTTTTACTTGTCCTTGCATGTCTTCGGCAAGGAGAGTAATACTGCGAGAACTGTCAGGGATACACACAACATTCAGAATGCAGCAAGACTCAAACCCCTCCTTGGGCTGCGGTAAACATACCTAATGCCATTCGATTTTGCAACACAACAGTACACAGCTGAACAAGTTCTTCTGATAACAACAGAAGTCCAGTGCTACTATCTTAGGAGCTTTTACTATATGTGGACTTAATATTTTAATTTGTTGCTGAAGCAGGATTGTACGAGGGGCAAGGGAGAATACTGTGATAGTTTTCCACCACCAGGGAGTCTGGCACGTTCATAACCAGCTACCTTTGTAAGCATCTAGATTATTGGGGAAGGGAATATTATCCCGGATGGTGAATGGAATTAATGGCACCCCCAAGTGAATCTCCCCATCCAATAAGGGGGCAGATAGGCCACCCATAGGGTCTGCATACCCAGAGGGCCCCCCAGGGGACAGCAATGGTTATACTACAATTATAGTGTATTAAGATGTTATTAAAGTAGCAAAGGAAGTCCAGGTTGGATTGCAAGTGTTGTTGTTTTGGCCCCATTTGTAGTGACAGAGCCATTCAGAAATATTGGCAAGGACAACTCTGCAAGGCAGTCCATTTCCTGTGGCCTCTGGCAATTTGATGCATAGCCAGCATTGACTGCGGTTAGCTTCTGTCGCAGTGGTTGCTGCCCAGTTGATGAATTCACTCTCCACCTCAGACCTGATGACCCAGGTACTGATTACTAGTAGACAGGTTATTCTCTGTAACAACAAAACTGAAGGGGAACATAATATTGTTTTTCATTTTTAGGAAACTGTACTACCCTTTTATTTTCTGCTCCCATACCTACAAGGTCACAGCCTTAGGGGCGGGATCTGATGGAGGCTGTATCCATATTTTCGTTCCAGGATTTAAGCTACCTATACCAGTGGATCTTAATTTCCCAGTTCTGTACGTAGCCTCTGTTGGGGCAGAGATTTCCTCAGGGGTTAATTGTTAACAAGGTACCAGGTACCACTGACAATTGAGCAACCCGAATCTGCGGTCTTGTAACAAAAGAATGTGGAGTGGTATTGTGTAAAGTGAACTTTAACTGTTCCTGGTAATCATTATCAATTATACCACCATACATTATAATGTGTCTCATCGCCAGGCTTGAATGTGTTGTAATCCATTCACCCACATTCAAGTTTGCATTTATGCTGGAAATTTTGGCCTGTTGATCTACCTGCTGTTTAGTCTGTCAAGAGAATGCAGAGATGCATGAGAATCAATATGAAAAACAGCAATAATAGTAATGTGCATCAGGATTCAGGTATCTTCCTAGTATTGTTTTCTCCAAACCTCTTTATTCATTATTCACTATTTGTTTCATTGCCATTCGGGCAACTAGGTAGTAAGACCATTTTCTGCTGACCAACAGTCGGTATACAAGCAACAAATTGCTCTGGCCTCCTCCTGAATAGTTCGGAGGATGGCTTCTAGTTCAGCCAGCTGGCTGCTCACACCCCTCCCTTCATCAGAAACGCTTATGTTTTTAACAGGATTATAAGCCACGGCCTCCCAGCATCAGGTCCCATCAATGTATTTGGTGGAACTATCAGTAACCAAGCGTGTTTCTGATCCTCTGGGCTTAGTTCTTTAAAGGATTTGCCCCATTGGGCAGGGGAGGTTTCCTTCCCTATATGCAGGACTTGCCCTGTGGTTTCCTGAGTTGGCAAGTTTTGCACATCTTCAAGTAAAAATGATACCGCTTTTAGTTCTGGCTTATCCTGGTCTTGTATGTACCATTTCCATTTTATGATACTACATTCTTGAGTGTACCCTATCCAATGGGTTTTGAGGGAGCTCATGACCCAAGTCATAATAGGAATTTGGGGCCTCATAAAAACATCATGATTAAAACAAAGGTGTTCTGCTTCCTTCAAGCGCAGTAGAAGGCCAACAGCTGCTTCTCAAAGAGTATAAGCTTTGCCAGCCTCTGGCAGCTTCTGGGTCTAAAACTCCAAAGGTATCTTCTTCCCATCTTGTTTCTACCTAAGGCTCCAATTAGCATGTTGATGTAGGACAGTTACTTGCAGTTCTGTTGACTCATCCTATAAGGGCCATAGATCCAGGGCCAGTTGCTCAGCTTGTTTTGCTTGTTGAAAAGCCAGGCTGTCTTTCTCTCTCCAGTGATATTCATAGTGTTTTCTAGTGACTGCATGCAGAGGTTGTAATATGTTACCCAAGTGGGGAATATGATGTCTCCAGAATCCAAACAAGCCAATACAATTTTGGACCTCCTTTTCAGTGGTAGGGCTGCAAATTCTAGTATTTTAGCGTTAGCCTTTGGTAAAATGGACTGTTTCCCTGCAGTCCATAGGATGCCAAGGAACTTTACACTTTGTGCAGGCCATTGAATTTTATTAGAGTTAACTTCCCATCCTTGAGATAGGATTTGGGTTTTTACCCTCTTCTGCCCTGAAAACTGACTAGTTATTCAGTTTTACCCTGACTGGGCAACTCGGACAGCTGCTTTTTCAGCAATAGGCTGATAGCTTTGAGCCTGATCAGTCAAGACAGGCCTGGCATGGTACCAGGGTCAGTCTGGAAGTCAGATTAAAATTTTCCTTTTCCAGCTTACATTTCTCTTGTAACAACCAGTCCCTACATTGACACTTTAACTTATAAGAAGTAAGCAAGCATCATCAATGCTGGGAAATTCCCTCAGCATTACAATTACCAACTGGGACTCCCTGCTGCACCTCACGCACAGCCAGTGATTCAAACAAACTTTATCCCACTTAAATGGCAATGCAGATATAATAAGCAAATATATAAGCAAGTTGCAATGGGACGGGGAGAAGGGAAAAGATATATATATATATTTAAACTCACCAAACTATGGAGGATTCACCACAAGACTGTGAAGCAACAGCCTGGGCTCCAGATTGGCCACTCATCCGTCCACAGACAACGTGAGATCTCATGAAGCTTTGGCGCAGTCTGGAACCCCAGCTCTTTTTGTAATGAGTTATTTGGCATGAAGTCCGGTCAGGAAGGCTATTCACAACGGGGCTCAAGGAACACAAAAAGGTCAACTTGTTTTTTTGATTGTCTATTGTTTTTCAATAACTAAGATATAGGAATAAATTGAAATAGAGATTTATCTGAAACAGCGCTGGATGAGGGCTTCAAGGGGCTCACACAACCTGTTCCGGGACTTGGTGACCATTGTTTGAGTCCATGTCCAATTTAGTTCAAATTTAATATTTACCTTTTACTCCAAAAAGTGTCAAAAGTAATTCCTTCAAATGCAGGAAATTATGTAGCTACTCACAAACTAAACTTCTCAAACAAAAGTCATAAATAGAGTACAGAGATAAAAAATAAAATAAAATCTAACTACATCTGTCTACAGGGGATTCAATTTATTTATTTATTTATTTATTTTAGAGACATGGTATTGCTTTGTTTCCCAGGCTGGTCTCAAACTTCTGGGCTCAAGTTAACCTCCCACCTCAATCTCCTAAAATGCTCGGATGACAGATATGAGCCATCTTACTATATAGTAACAAAAACAGACTAAAAGTGGCAAGATGCATCAAAACAATTTTATGCAAATCGTAATGAAATGAAGACAACGTCACGAGCACATTATGCAAAATACTTTTTAAATAACTGTCTTAGTTTATAAAATAAATTATAAGTTAAAACTGTCAAAGAAAACAAAGGACAAAATAATAAAAAAGTTTATTCACTGGAAACCTAGGAAAATTATATACATTTATATAATATACATTTATATAATTGTGTGTATTTATCTAATTATGTATACAGACACACATATATATGAACCTCACATGAAGATTTTAAAATAAATCAATAATATTTTGTCAGAACATAAACAAAAAACTGCAATATACTGAGAACAATATTTTAATACACCAGTTCTGTAATTAATAATAAAGCCAGAGAGAATGTTAAGAAGAAAACAGAGGACATGAAAATACTGTAAAACAGTTAGATGTAACAGATGCATAGAGATCACTCTACACAACAACAAAACTCACAGTCTTGTCAAAAGCTCATAAAACATTGTCCTAAAAATAAATATAAGGAAAAAAATTTTTTAACAGAATTAAAAAAAATTGAATGTTACAGAAAACACTTCAAAAAATCAATCAACCCAGGAGCCGGTTTTTTGAAAAGATTAACAAAATAGATAGACCACTAGTAAGACAAATAAAGGAGAAAAGAGAGAAGAATCAAAGAGACGCAATAAAAAACGACAAAGGGGATATCACCACGAAACCCACAGAAATACAAACTACCATCAGAGAATACTATAAACACCTCTACGGAAATAAAGTGGAAAACCTAGAAGAAATTGATAAATTCCTGGAAACATCCACACCTCCAAGACTAAACGAGGAAGAAGTTGAATCTCTGAGTAGACCAATAGCAGGTTCTGAAATTGAGGCAATAATTAATAGCTTATGAACCAAAAAAAGTCCATGACCAGACGAATTCACAACGGAATTCTACCAGAGGTACAAAGAGGAGCTGCTACCATCCCTTCTGAAACTATTCGAATCAAGAGAAAAAGAGGGAATCTTCCTTAACTCATTTTATGAGGTCAGCATCATCCTGATACCAAAGCCTGGCAGAAGCACAACAAAAAAACAATATCCCTGATGAACATCAATGCAAACATCCTCAATAAAATGCTGACAAACCAAATCCAGCAGCACATCCAAAAGCTTACCCACCACGATCAATTCAGCTTCATCCCTGGGATGCAAGCCTGGTTCAACATATGCAAATCAATAAACATAATTCATCACATAAACAGAACCAATGACAAAAATCTCATGACTATCTCAATAGATGCAGAAAAGGCCTTCAACAAAACTCAACAGCCTTTCATGATAAAAACTCTAAATAAACTAGGTATTGATGGAACACATCTGAAAATAATAAGAGCTATTTATGACAAACCCACAGCCAATATCATGCAGAATGGGCAAAACCTGGAAGCATTCCCTTTGAAAACCAGCACAAGACAACGATGCCCTCTCTCACCACTCCCACTCAACATAGTATTGGAAGTTCTGGCCAGGGCCATCAGGCAAGAGAAAGAAATAAAGGACATTCGATTAGGAAAAAGAGGAAGCCAAATTGTCTCTGTTTGCAGATGACATGATTGTATATTTAGAAAACCCCATTGTCTCAGCCCAAAATCTCCTTAAATCTGATAAGCAACTTCAGCAAAGTCTCAGGATACAAAATAATGTGCAAAAATCACAAGTATTTCCATACACCAATAACAGATGAACAGAGAGCCAAATTATGAGTGAACTCCCACTCAACAATTGCTACAAAGAGAATAAAATACCTAGGAATCCAACTTACAAGGGATGTGAAGGACATTTTCAAGGAGAACTACAAACCACTGCTCCATGAAATAAAAGCGGACACAAACAAATGGAAGAACATTCCATGCTCCTGGAAAGGAAGAATCAATATCATGAAAATGACCATGCTGCCCAAGATAACTTACAGATTCAATGCTATCCCCATCAAGCTACCACTGACTTTCTTCACAGAATTGGAAAAAACTACTTTGAAGTTCACATGGAACCAAAAAACAGCCTGCATAGGCAAGAAAATCCTACACAAAAAGAGAAAAGCTGCAGGTATCACACTACCTGACTTCAATCTATACTACAGGTCTACAGTAACAAAAACAGCATGGTACTGGTACCAAAACAGATATATAGAGCAATGGAAAAAAACAGAGGCCTCAGAAATACCATCACACATCTACAACCATTGGATCTTCGACAAATGTGACAAAAACAAACAATGGGGAAAGGATTTCTTATTTAATAAATGTTGCTGGGAAAAATGGCGAGCCATATGCAGAAAACTGAAACTGGATTTCTTCCTTACACCCTATACATAAATTGACTCAAGATGGATTAAAGACTTAAATGTAAGACCCAAAACCATAAAAACCTAAGAGAAAACCTGGGCAATACCATTCAGGACATAGGCATGGGCAAAGACTTCATGACTAAAACACCAAAAACAATGGCAACAAAAGCCAAAATAGACAAATGAAATCTAATTAAACTTAAAAGCTTCTACACAGCAAACGAAACTATCATTAGAGTGAACAGGCAACCTACAGAATGGGAGAAAATTTTTGCAATCTACCCATCTGACAAAGGACTCACATCCAGAATCTACAAAGAATTTAAACAAATTTACAAGAAAAAAACGAGCAATCCCATCAAAAAGTGGGCAAAGGATATGAACAGACACTTCTCAAAAGAAGACATTTATGTAACCAACAGACATGAAAAATTGCTCATCATCACTGGTCATCAGAGAAATGCAAATGAAAACCACAATGAGATACCATCTTACGCTAGTTAGAATGGGGATCATTAAAATGTCAGGAAACAACAGATGCTGGAGAGGACGTGGAAAAACAAAAACGCTTTTACACTGTGGGTTGGAGTGTAAATTAGTTCAAACACTGTGGAAGACAGTGTGGTAATTCCTCAAGTATCTACAACCAGAAATACCATTTGACCCAGCAATCCCATTACTGGGTATATATCCAAAGGATTATGAATCATGCTACTATAAAAACACATGCACACGTATGTTTATTGTGGCACTGTTCAGAATAGCAAAGTCTTGGAACCAACCCAAATGTCCATCAATGATAGACTGGATTAAGAAATTGTGACACATATACCCCATGGAATACTACGCAGCCTTAAAAAAGGATGAGTTCATGTCATTTGCAGGGACATGGATGAAGCTGGAAACCATCATTCTCAGCAAACTATCACAAGGACAGAAAAACAAACACTGCATGTTTTCACTCATAGGTAGGAGTTAAACAATGAGAACATGTGGACACAGGACAGGGAACATCAAACGCTAGTGCCTGTTTGGGGGTGGGGGGCTATGAAAGGGATAGCATTAGGAGAACACTTAATGTAAATGTTGAGTTGATGGGTGCAGCAAACCAACATAACACATGTATACCTGTATAACAAACCTGTACGTTCTGCACATGTATCCTAGAACTTAAAGTATAATAAAAACTGAAGGCTACAGACTATAATTTCTGACCAAAATGGATTAAAACTAGAAATCAATAACCGAAGAAAATTCATAAAATTCACAAATACATGATAATTAAACAATTTATTCTTCAACATGTTTTTGTTCAAGAGTTAAAAATTTAATATTTTGAACGTGTCTATAATGCCCAAAGTGAGCTGCAGATTTAATACAATCCCTATGAAATTCTTAATATTATTTTTGACAGAAACAGAGAATGTGACTCCCCAAAGTATACGGAATTTCAGGGGACCACATAAAAAAAGTTGGAAGCATTACAATTCCTGATTTCAAGACATGTTAGAAATCTACAGTAATCAAAATCTTATGTTACTAGCATAAAGACAGACAATTAGACTAATAAAAAAATCTTTGCCACTGCTGCAGACAGTGCCTGCATCATCCTGCAGACTGACAATGATCATTTTGCTGCTGATGACTTTAAAGTGTGAGACAGACCTGGCCATGTGCCAGTTTGTGGAGTGCGACATTACTGATAACACCAGTGTCAGTCAGCCTCTGCTGGAGACAGAGATGGAGGCCCTCAAGGAAGAGCTGCTCTTCATGAAGAATCATGAGGAGGAAGTTAAAGGTCTATAATACCTGATTTCCAGCTCTTGGTTGACCATGGAGGTAGATGTCCCCAAGTCTCAGGACCTTGGCAAGATCATGACAGGCATCTGGGCCCAATATGACGAGATGGCTGAGAACAGCTGAGAGGAGCTGGACAAGTACTGGTCCCAGCAGACTGAGGAGAGCACCAGAGTAGTCACCATGCAGTCCGCTGAGATCGGAGCTGCTGAGAGGATGCTCAGGGGGTTGAGATGTACAGTCCAGTCCTTGGATATCGAACTGGACTCAATGAGATATCTGAAAGTCAGCTTGGAGAACAGCCTAAGGGAGGTAGACGCAGATGGAGCAGCTCAACAGGATCCTGCTGCACCTGGAGTCAGAGCTATCCCAAAACCGGGAAGAGAGGTACCACGCCCAAGAGCACGAGGACCTGTGGAACATCAAGGTCGAGCTGGAGGCTGAGATTGCCACTTACTGCCGCCTGCTAGAAGACGGGGAGGATTTCAATCTCCTGGATGCTCTGGACAGCAGTAAATACCTGCAAGCTATCCAAAAGAACAGCCCCCGCAGGATAGTGGACGGGAAAGTGGTGTCTGAGACCAACAATACAGACTTTTTGTTGTGCTAAGCCATCAGAAGCAAGGTCCCTTTGGGGAGCAGGAGGCCAGTAAAAAGTTCAGAGGTAAAAAAAAATTAACTTCAAATCACAGAAGTGTTTCCTTCAACACAAAAGTAATATAGATTCATTAATATATAGAAGTGGAAATTAAGACAATTTCCACAACTACTCACCCAGAGAGGATTAAAAAAATAATTGACCACCAACTAATTAAACAAATACACAAGTCATAAATAAAGTATGAGTAATGTTTATACAAGCAAATGAACAGAGAATTATGTTGGCAATAGACGTGTGGTTGATTCATATTTGACTGATTCATATTCAACTGTACACAGTTGAATATAGTCATACAAAATTATAATATATAGGCAGAATCTAAAAACACAATTAAATAATGTAAGGCAGCCTATCCTAACAAGGAAATACAAGAATATATAATATTAGAAAATAAAATTAAATAAACATTAGCCTGTGAAATACCGAATAAACAAAGCATGCAACGGAAGAAGACTCTTTCCAGATAACTAGCATGTTCAACCATAACTGGGCTCCCATAAAGAGCAGATTTTGAATTCTTAGCATATGGTTAGAGTAACAAAATTGCACAACAAATACATTATAATCTCCCATAAAGAGCATTTAGAAGAAAATTTTAATAAAGATTTCAATGATATTAGAGACACTTTTTATTATGTTCTTAATATATTACTCCTCTTTTTATACAAATGGAAAGGCTATAATTTATTTATTTTTTTTAATTTTTTGAGATGGAGTCTCGCTTTGTCACCCAAGCTGGAGTGTAGTGGCGAGACCTCGGCTCACTGCAACCTCCACCTCCCTGGTTCACGCCATTCTCCTGCCTCAGCCTCCTGAGTAGCTGGGACTACAGGCGCCCACCATCACGCCCGGCTAATTTTTGTGTATTTTTAGTATACACGGGGTTTCACCGTGTTAGCCAGGAAGGTCTTGATCTTCTGACCTCGTGATCCACCCGTCTCGGCCTCCCAAAGTACTGGGATTACAGGCTTGAGTCACCGCTCCTCGCCGGCGATATTTTTTGTAGTTTTAGTAGAGACAGGATTTCACCATGTTGGCCAGGCTGGTCTTGAACTCCTGACCTCATGATCCACCTATCTCGACCTTTTAATGTGCTGTGATTACAAGCATGAAACACAGCACTGGCCTATAATTTATTATTTTTAAAACAAAGAAAAGCCTTACATTTTTACATATGGGAACAACATGAATATTGTAAAATATGCTGTGGAAAACTACAATATAATAAGCAATTAGAAATAAATTATACTATCATTCAGATAAATGTTGAGGAAAGTAAATGGAAACACTAATGATAAGTTTTTCTATGCAGTGAACTTAGACACAAACTAAAACTTTTCTTAATGTGATGTGCATATCATCCAATTCACTTTTTATATAACACATAAATTCAAGTATGTTTTCTGAAACCCCTGAAGCTAAAGTTATAGGCTAATTTGACATACGTAAAAACAGGACAGGGAAAACATACAGATCACAGTCCCACTAAGCTTTATATAAGATTAATTAATAAAATAACTCATTAAGAAATAATGTAACAGTTAAGAATTTGTTCTATTCCTGGCATGTTTCTAAGTTTTTCTATGGATTAAGGTCCTTAAAAATTCTTTGAGATGAGTAGATACAATAAACTATTCCATAGGTGATATGTTTGGCATAGAGAGTTCACATTTCTAAGTTAGTTTCTACTAAGGGAAAGAAAACTTTTTGACCTACATTACCAGAGATGAAAAAAAGAATAAAGTGAAATAGAAGATTCAACTTTATCATATCTGCTGAGGTGCTTTGGGCTCTGATAAATTTTTTTTCTGATTTTTTTGCAGGAACACATTTGAAATAATAGGACTGAAAATTATGAGGAGGAAACATTTGTCCTTGGTGTTTCTGAAATATGTGAACCAAACCCCAATGCCTGCACTTTTGCTCTCACAAACTTCTGACATGAGGCACAGATTTTTACAAAACAGCTTAACATAGAAGTCTCACAAAATGTGCAGATTTCCTCAGATCCCAAAAACAATGGAAAAGCACTCAGACCACAAGAGCTTCATGGGAATAGCAGAAAGAAGAGGTGAACTTTGGCTGTCACTGTGAATGCCCTGGAATGTTAGTGGATGAACAGAGAAGCCTTAGAAGATTTAAGAGCATAATAAGCATAGGGTAGGAAATTTCCACCTGTGGCAGCAAAAGAAGTAAATTTAGAATTTTCCAGAACCAATTTCTTTGAAGCAGAACTTCCAACACCACATTTTTAAGGTTTTCTCCTTGGCCTTTGCACCTCTCATCTTTGTTATTTGTTTATTCTTCCCTATTGGGGTGTTGCCTATTATTCTCTCTCTTTTTACATTCCAAAGACATTTCCTTTACTGTAGGACAGGGGCATCCACGGGAGACTACAGCCATGAGTTCTTAGTTTCTGTTTCTGGTTGAGCCAGTAAGGCCCTTTCCTCATCCCCCTTTTCCACTTATCACTAGACACAGAACCCAAAAACCATTGCTGCAGGCTGCTAAAAACCTAAAACAAAACAGAGCCATAACAAAAACAAAACAAGGCGGGTTGGAAAAGCTTGCTGTACGAGGCAACCAGGTCTGGCTTATATTCACCACATCCCTTCTTCTTTCCCAGAACAGCAATTGGGCTCAAGAGAAAACGTCCAACTTTTAGTATATCCCTCAGTATAGAATGAGAACAGTGGAACATATGTTCAAAGGTTTGGCTTTGTGGGCTACCGCTGATGACTAGATTCTGTCTCCCCAAACAGGGAATGCTAAAGGAAATGGCAGAGTAATGAGAATGATAACTTATGACTGCTGAGAAGAGAAGTTACATGCTTACCACAGCCTCAGAGAAACAAACACTACAATCAACTGCGGAAGCAAAGGACCACAGTGTCTGGAAAACAATGGGAAAAAATATCTTTACCTTAAAAATCCACACACAAGCCCAGAGAAGACACATTGAAGACACTGTTAATGAAGAACCAGGATGTACAGCCTCACTGATTGTTGTATTATCTTGTAGTAAGCAAGTTTGTACATACTACATTACACAGTTGTTTTATAAATTTCTGAATCTCATCAAAAGATTGCAGGGCATACAGAAAAGGACGAAAACATGTCCCAATTGAAGAAATAAAATAAACCTACAAATATTGATCTTTAAAAATCTTTGTTGACTTTTAAAGGTCAAAATTTGTAGGTTTATTCTTTGTTGTTGTTGTTTTTGCATTATATAATTTTGAAAATCAAAATAATTATCAAAGCTCCTTAATGATATGAACACTCCTCCAGTCCGCAGGGCTCCGGCAAGGGAGGAGCTTAGACACCATGCGGGACACCCGGGTGGACCCCCAACCCACGCCCGAGGCTCAGAGCAGGAGCAAGGACCTGGCTGCACCAGGCCGAAGCCGCCTCCACCCCCAGCGGTCGCGGACTCCAGGAGCTCCAGACCTGGGGTCGTGGTGAGATTCGTTGATTGACTGCGCGATGGTGGCTGAGTTGCAACCAAATGGGTTTCATCACCTTAAATGGTTTTGAACCAATGAAGCTATATTCCCTTAAAGAGACGGACAGCCCATCGTGTGAACTATAGAGTTTGTGAACAAATTTATATTGGGTTCATAGTGGCATCATGCACACAGACTCCTGCGAGTTCCCCTAAGTTCTTAGAGGACTGCTTTACCTTTTGATCTGAGAGTTGCAAAGTTCCGTAAAGAATGGCCCTGTGGATAAGCGCTAAGTCAAGAGACAGCGATTGGACAGAATTTGTGAAGGAATTCGCCGCCAGATCACGAAAGACCCCCTAAGCCCCCGCTCACTGGCAGCGTTCCTGGTCGGCCGTGACTGCACTGTGGACATGCCCATCCTGAAGGCCACCGTGGCCTTCTATGATGCAGTCCACGCAGGAAATCCACGAGAAAGTTCTAAACAGAGCCGTGGGCCCCATGATGCACCACACAATCACCTCACCAGGGAGGTTCTGGCAAATTTCAAGTCCTTGAGAGTGATCGTGGGGGTGGGCAGTGGCTATGACAACGTGGACATCAAGGCTGCCAGCGAGCTCGGAATTGCTGTGTGAAACATCCCGTCCGCAGCCGTGGAAGAGACAGCCAATTCCACCAACTGCCACATTCTCAACATGTACCGGAGGAACACATGGCTGTACCAGGCACTGTGGGAAGGCAAGCGGGTTCAGAGCATGGAGCAGATCTGCGAGGTGGCCTCGGGAGTGGCCCGCATTCGTGGGAAGACGCTGGGCCTCATCGGCTAGGGTCGCACGCAGCAGGCTTTTGCAGTTCCAGCCACAGCCTTTGGATTCAGCGTCATGTTTTATTACCCCTACTTGCAGGATGGGATCGAGCAGTCCCTGGGCATGCAGAGGGTCTACACCCTGCAGGATTGGCTGTATCAGAGCGACTGCATCTCCTTGCACTGCAGTCTCAACGAACTTAAGCACCACCTCATCAATGACTTTACCATAAAGCAGATGAGGCAGGGAGCATTCCTTGTGAACGCAGCCCGTGGTGGCCTGGTGGACGAGAGAGCCTTAGCACAGGCCCTCAAGGAAGGCAGGATACGAAGGGCAGTCGTCGACGTGAACGAGTCGCAGCCCTTTAGCTTTGCTCAGGGTCCGTTGAAAGATGCCCCCAATCTCATCTGCACTCCTCTCACTGCCTGCTACAGCCAGCAGGTGTCACTGGAGATGAGGGAGACAGCTGCCACCGAGCTCCGCCGAGCCATCACAGGTCGCATCCCAGGAAGCTTAAGAAACTGTGTGAACGAGGAATTCTTTGTCACATCTGTGCTTTGGTGGGAAATAGACCAGCAAGAAATTCATCCAGGCATCTTGGGCGTGGGTCCAGGAGGACTTCCTGCATCCATGGAAGGGACATTCCCTGGAGGCATCCCGGTGACTCACAAACTCCCCACAGTGGCACATCCTTCCCAAGCACCCTCTCCCAACCAGCCCTCAAACACGGGGACAATCGAGAGCACCCCAACGAGTAATAACAGAGAATGCCGGAAGGTAATCATTCAGATACACTTTTGAAGAAGAGACAGTGAAAAATAGACAAACTAAGAGAAAAAGAATCTGACGCTCTTTTTAGCTGATTCTGGACATATGCTCATTGGTTTTGCACTGTTAAAACTGCAAGACCTAGAAAACTGCAGATGTCGTCTGCTTACGGAAGCTCTGAAAGACTAGGATGTGATTTATTAACCACCAACTTCCGTTATTATGTGTTTAGTTTTTCATCTGTGCATCAAATCACAAAGAATGAATACAATTTTTTCCTTTATCAGTCCCTTGGGCACAGCAGGTCTGGAACACCCTGCTCAGAATGTTGCATCAAGACTTCAAACATCAAAATAAAAACCATGAGGAGGAAATCCCCATCTTGTGACTTGAGTCCCTTCAGTCTACAGGGACTGGTTACAGCATTTTGTTAATAGGAAGATCACATTACTAGAAAATATGGAGTAAACTGTTTGCCTATGGTAGACATCCTCACACATAAGATTGAAGACAGTACCGGCTCCTGTACAGAGAAGCGTCTCTCACATCTGAACTGCATACTGAGCGGGCAAGTTGGTTGTAAGTTCAGTAAAAGCCTCTGATAATGCAAAAAAAAAAAAAAAAGTATTAAGTTTCACACGCTGTTTGTAATCAAGTATATTTTCTCAGTTTCAGATCCTCTGCTATTTTATTTAGTGGGAAGTCTTGCACTAAAAGGGTTCAAGAAAAATAGTGTTGCATTTTCTTATGTCACAGGAAACACTTTTAATGGTAACTTGTCAGATTGTCTATGAACAAACCCACTTTTTAAGACATTGATAAAGTCTTCTTTTCTTCACGTTGTGTTTTATACAAGAACACTTCAGCTGTATTGGATGTGACTGATTTTAACAAATTATATTAGATTTGCATCAATTAGTTACATGTTCTATTTATAGTCTTTTGTGAATATAGTCTTTTTGTTTAAAAAGATGGCCTGTTTTGATCCTTTGATTAGGTACATTCCCGTTTTTGTAAGAAAAGAGAAATTTTTAAGACTGTCCCAAACAGAAAAATAATGGCTATCAGAAGTACGTTTTGTTTTAGTGTAGTGCGAATTACCGTTACTGTAGTTGTTTATTGTAAAGATGGACATTTAGCATTCAGTGCAGTTTTCAATAAAATGTGATTAGAAAAAACTGCTTAATGAACAAAAACAGAACATAGACAACAAAAGAATATTAGAAGAAGTGATACATAAAGAAAATGAGATATCAATAAAAAGATTTTTAAAAACCAACAATTGTGAATCTGAAGAACATAATAGCTATATTAAAAATTTAATCAACAGTCACAAAAGCAGACTAATAAAGGAGAAAAAATTACACAATTGATGACATTGTAGTTATAAATATTGAGTGATGAAAACAAATTTTTTAAGCAGAATGGAGGAAAAAGTATGGGAAGTACTGCACATGGTCAAGTGGACCATTATATTTATGAAAGGAGTCTTACAAAAACAATATAGGAGAAAAGTAATAAAGAGGTTATTTTTAAAAAGTAGCTGAGAAATCCCCACATGGCAAGATAATTAAACAAGAAGAAATACTTCCAAACAAAAACCTTCAACTGGAGTAATATCACTTCAGAAATAAAAAAACTAAACCTTTCCAAATAAATAAAAGTTGATTGTGTTACTAACCACTAGAACAGTCCTAAAGGAAGTGTAAAAGAGTCTATCACGTCCAAAAATGAAATGATGCTGCAGAGCATCATAACAGCACATGAAAATAGAAAGCTCTCTATTAAAGGTAAATATATAAACAGGTAAAGAAATCTCTACTGTCATAATCATGGTGCACAAAACTTTCAAAATATTGCCATGGAGTTTAAAACATGAGGCAGAAATCTGCATAAATTTGTGATCATAGACCATAAGGAAAGATAATATGCGATATTAATAAAACAGTGGGGGTGTCAAGAGGTACAACTTTGCATTCAGTTGAAATATAGTTGTTCTATACTGTCATAACTTTAAGATGATTTATGAAGTCTTTATTTCTCAGGATGATTACCAAAAAAAACCTGTAGAATGTATGCAAAGGCAAATGAGAAAGAAATTCAATCACGTCACTACAAAATCAACAAACAGAAATAAAGCAGTAAGAGAAAAAATGATAAATAACACATCTACAAGAAACACAGAAGACAATTACAAATAATAAAGTAACTTCATTAAATGCAGTAATTACTTCAAATATAAAAAGTTAAATACCTTAAAGAAAATTAATAAATAATTTAATGGATTAAGAACAAAGAAGATCCAGCAATTTGCTCTCTACAAGAGTCACTTCAGCTCTAAGGACTCAAATAAGTTGAAAGTAACAGTATAAAGAAAATATATTTTATTCAAAGAGTAGCTAAAATTGGAGGGCCATGGTCATAATTATACTAAACAAAATATATTTTAAATCAAAAATATGAACAAGAGACAGATTGGTATTGTGTTTTTGTTTTTGTTTTTGGAGACAGAGTCTCATTCTGTCACCAGGCTGGAGTGCAGTGGCACGATCTCGGCTCACTGCAACCACAACCTCCCTGGTTCAATCGATTCTCCTGCTTCAGCTTCCCGAGTAGCTGGGACTACAGGCACACGCCGCCACCTCACCCAGCTAATTTTTGTACTTTTTAGTAGAGATGGGGTTTCACCTTGTTGGCCAGGATGGTCTCGATCTCTGGACCTCATGATTCACCCGCCTCGGCCTCCCAAATTGCTGAGACTACAGGCGTCAGCCACTGCGCCCGGCCGAGAGAGATTGGTATTATGTAATGGTGAGATGGATTAACTTTCCAGGAATCTATAACAATAATTTATAAATCATATATATATAATTTGAAAAATCTGCAAAAATATACCACTGAGATTTTGACAAAAATTACATTAAATTTTTGTATTACTATAAATAGCACTGACATCTTTCTTTCTTTTTTTTTTTTTAGAGACAGAGTTTCTTTCTCTCTGGCTGGAGGGCAGTGGCATGATCTCTCGATAGGCTCACTTCAACCTCCTCCTCCCAGGTTCAACTGATTCTCGTCTTTCAAATATGTAAAACAAATATTGACAGAAGTCAAGCAAGAAATACATAGCAACACAACAATGGTGGACTTCAAGACTCCACTTTCAGTAATGACTAGAATAGTCAGAAGTAATATCAGTAAGAAAGCCAAACCTGAACATTATAGACCCAACCAGCATTTACAGAACTCTCCAATTTAAAGGAGCAAAATCTGCAATATTCTAAATCACACATGGTACATTCTGTTAGGATACATGTCTTATTAAATTTAAGAAAACTGAAGCCATACAATGTAAATGAAACTAGAATTCAAAAGCAAGAAAATGTGGCAAATATGTAAATAAGAGGAAATTAAGCAAAATCTTTCATATAGTCTTGCTCAAGTGTCAGGTGATTTAATATTGTTAAGATGTCAGGGCCGGCATGAGGCTCATGCCTGTAATCCTAGGACTTTGGGAGGCCAAAGTGGGTGGATCACTTGAGATCAGAAGTTTGAGACTAGCCTAGTGAATATGGCAAAACCCTATCTCTACTAAAAATACAAAAGTTAGCTAGACGTGATGGTGCACGACTGCAATCCCAGCTACTCTGGTGGCTGAGACTGGAGAATTGCTTGAACCTGGGAAGCGGAGCCTGCAGTGAGCACATCTCGCACCCCTGCCCTTCAGCCTGAGTGACTCACTAAAACTCCATCTCCAAAAAAAAAAAAAAAAAAATGTTGTCAGTACTACTCATGATGATATAAAAATGTAAGGTAATTTTTGTCAAAATCCCAATGGTATTTTTTTTGCAGAATTTTTGTGTATAATTCTAAACGTTGCTTAGGACAGGTGACTAGCCAAACACCCTTTAAAAAGAACAAAGAGGTATTACATTTTCTGATTCAAAATCATGATACAAAGCTACAAAAATAAAAACAATGTGGTATTGCCACAAAAACAGATACATAGATGACGAAACAGAATAGAGATCCCAGAAATAAACCCTTGCATATGTGATAAAATAATCTTCCGTAAGCTTTCCATGACCACACAATAGAAAAATAAGAATCCATTTAACAAAGAGTTTTCCAAATTGAATATTTACAGAGAAAAAAATAAAGTTGGATGCTTCCTTTGTATCATATATAAAAAGAAAAGTTTTTAAAATGAATTCAATACTTAAACATAAAACCTAATAAAATTCTTAGAAGTAAACATAAGGGAAAAGTTTATGACATAAGTCTTAAAACTCTTTCCTTAAGTTTGACATCAAATTCATAAGCAACAAGGAAAAGAACAACGACCAAGAAAAGGGACTACATTAAGCTTCAACTATTCTACACATCAAATAAAACATTTAGTGCCATACAAACGTCACCTAATAAGTGGGTGAAAGCTAGGCATGGTGTCTCATGCCTTTAATTCTACAACTTTAGGAGGCCAAGGCAGAACAATCACTTGAGACCAAAAGTTTGAGACTAGCCATGAAAACATAGCAAGACCCTGTCTTGTATAGGGTTATATATATGCATACATACATACATATAACTAAAAAGAGTAAAAATATTTTCTAATCACATATTTGGTAGGTGTTAATTTTCAAAATATATAAATTCCTAAAACTCAACAACAAAAAAAGTTAATAACTTGATTTAGAATGGCACATGTTTGAAATGACTTTCTCCAAAGAAGACATAGAAATGACTAGGCATTTAAAAGGATACTCGACAACTCTCTTCTAGAAAAATACAAAGAAAAGTCACAATAATCTATCACATCAAACCTATTTTTAAAATAGTATGAAAGCTCTTCAAAAAATTTAAAATGAGATTATTATACAATCCAGCAAACCCCATTCTGGCTATGTATTTAAAATATACAACACATGATCCGGAAGAGATATTTGCACACCCAAATTTATTGCAGCATTACTAACACAAGCCAAAAGGCAGAAACAACCCAGCTGTCCCTTGACCAATGAAGAGATTAACAACAAGTGGCACATACACAAAGTCGAATATTATTCAGTCTTTAAAAAGTCACATTATATGATTATTCTTGAGAATATCACGTTAACTGAAATAAGCCAGGAACAAAGTGACAGTCTATGATTCCATTCATAATCAGGTATCTTAAGTAGACAAACTCATAGAAAAAAAAAGTTAGAATGGTGTTTGTCAAGGACTGAAGAGATGGTAAAATGGGCAATTGTCTTAAAAGACATTTAATGTTAGTTTTGCAAGACATAGAAGTTCTACAGATCTTTTGCATAACTATGTGAATGTACTTAACGCTAATGAAATATACACTTAAAAAGAATTAAAATGGTAAATTTTACATTATGTGTTTTTACCACAATCGCAATTTTTAAAAGGAAAAATATGGACTTATAAAGCTTTCCAAAAATTAAATTTTGTTCACAAAAGATTTTCTCTCACACAAAGGAAGTATAGATTTATAATTAAACACATTGTGAAATTAAGATTATTTCAATGACTATTCATCCACACAAGATAAGACAACCACTGAAAATCAGCCAAAAAATATGGAAGATAAGCCATGAGCAAAGTTGGGGACATATTTATAGAGACAAACACATATATAATTTAATTTTGAAAACGTATGACCGATTTATATTTTAATTAAACCCAACATTAGTTTCCTGAGTGAAATTTGGTTTTCAGTTTGGGCAAATGAAGACCTTTCTGTGGTTAAAAGGATTCTTTCTTCTCCGTTTCTTCATATGGACCTGTGCTGGGGATTGGTCAGCTGTTCAAGTGCAATGCACTCAGTTTTGGTTCTGTGCCAGGATTAAACCTACGATATTTCACATTTCATATATAAACCCCGATGAAGTGTTTCTAGGAGATGGCTGCCTCATAACCTATATTTTGCCAAATGTTTACTATGAATTTCACCACCATCCTCTTGAAGGTGGTATTGTAACTAAAACTCTTCAGGACATTCTACTTAAAACTAAAATCACGTATATCTCAAGAAACTCCTTTCTGATTTGAAATGCCTCTGTCATGTATTGTCTGCAATCAGCCTCCTCTTTAAAAGAAAGTAGAAAGGACAGATGAGGAAACTGATAGTGTTACTGCATGGGAGACAGAGGTGAGGATACACATGGCGGATGAAAACATGGAAGTTATTTCTACAGCACGATCTTGTAAGTGTCTGACTGCTATGCTCCCTTGTATATCAAATGATGTACCTTTATTGCAAGAGAAGATAGTGCGCTGTTTACCTTGACATTGAGAGGCAATTTTGAATCTCTGTCGTGATTGTTTAGGACTGAGGATTTAATGTGCTATTTTGTGGAAATCTTAGAAGCAGTAATGGGATTTAATGATCTTAACTATCATCCTTCTGAAAAATCTAACGCGATTTTAAATAAAATGGCCGGCTGCTTCCACCGTTCCCTTTTTAAACCAGGAGCTGCCGTTGCTTTTAACATTACGAAGTTGAATCTATGAATAGTTTGTACTATTAACATTTTTTTAAAAATCCACATTGACTTGAAGTGTACAGGCAGAGTTGGAAATTATAACATCCAAAGTTATAATACATAAGTAAAACCCAAAATAAAATCAACTGCTGCCCTGGAACCTATTATAAATAATCGAGACAGTAATATGGAATTGTAAAGAAAAATAAGAAACATATTTACTCATAAAATCTTGCAAGCAAAGTTTTTTTCTTTTTTTGAGACAGAGTCTCACTCTGTCACCCAAGCTGAAGTGCAGTGGCGAGACGACGGCTCATTTCAACCTCCGCCTCCTGAGTTCAAACCATTCTCCTGCCTCAGCCTTCACTGAGATTACAAGCACCTGCTACCAGACCAGGCTACCTTGCATATAAACTTGATATATCATTTATGAAAATACTTTTTAGATAACTAAAATATTCTACTGTGACTGTGCATTCATGAAGTTCGGGTATCTTGAATCATTGGCATGCAGTGTGTGACAGTAAAATTTCACAGAAAATACACTGTAACCATTAATAAAAGGCCCTAATAAGAGAATTTTAATGCATAAGAATTGAAAAGACACCATAAATAATTTCCGTTGTATTTTTAATACACTGATGCTATTCTTACACAAAGTAAAAAGGCTGGGTAAGTTGTGGTGGCTCACACCTGTAATTCCAGCAATTTGGGAGGCCGAGGTAGCAGATTGCTTAAGCACAAGAGTTCACAACATGCCTGGGCAGGATAGGGAGACCCTGTCTCTGCAAATAATAATAAACAGCCAAGTGTGTTAATACACATTTGTGGTCCCATCTGCTCAGGAGGCTGAGGCAGGAGAATTGCCTGAGCCTGAGTGGTCAAGGCTAGAGTGAGCTGTGATTATGCATTGCATTCCAGCCCAGGTGACACAGTGAGACCCTGTTTAAAGAAAAAAACAAACAAAAACTAAAAATTAACCAGGAGTAGTGGCATGCACCTGTACTCCCAGCTACTTCAGAAGCTGAAGTTAGAAAATCATTTGAGCCTGAGAGTTTGAGTCTGCAGTGAGCCATAATTGAGCTACTGAACTCCAGTCTGTGTGACAGAGCAAGGCCTTGTCATAGATAGATAGATGATAGATGATAGATAGATAGATAGATAGATGGAATACACCTGGAGAAAGAGTAAATTTTAATGTAGTGTGATGTAATTTTTAAAATAAACTTTATGTGTGTATCACTTAGAAATTTATAGAACAGGCCGGGGGCGGTGGCTCACGCCTCTAATCCCAGCACTCTGAGAAGACGAAGTGGGCAGATCAGGGGGCCGGATATCGAGACCAAGACCATCCTGGCTAACACGGTGAAACCCTGTCTCTACTAAAAATACAAAAAATTAGCCGGGTGTGGTGGCGGGCAACTCTAGTCTCAGCTACTCGGGAGGCTGAGGCAGGAGAATGGCGTGAAACCGGGAGGCAGAGCTTGCAGTGAGCCGGGATCGCGCCGCTGCACTCCAGCCTGGACAACAGAGCGAGAGTCTGTCTCGAAAAAAAAAGAAATTTATACAACTTAGCCAGAAGAATAAAAAACAACCTCTTAACAGTTTTTTCAAATAAAAAAAGTGAGTTTGAAGAGAAGGGAATAAAGGGGACTTTCAGTTTAATGTGTTTTTTATTTTTTGAGTCAGGGTCTCACTTTGTTGCCCACATGGAAGCGCAGTGGTGTGATTTCAGCTCACTGCAAACTTGGCCTCCCAGGCTCAAACAATCCTCCCACCTCAGCCTCCCTAGTAGCTGGGAATACAGGTGTACATCACCACAACTGGTTAATTTTTGTATTTTTGTAGAGAGAGGGTTTTACCATGTTGCTCACACTGGTCTTGAGCTTCTGGGCTCAAACAATTCACCTGCCTTGGGCTCCCAAAGTGCTGGGATTGAGCCACTAGGCCAACCAAGTTTTTTGTTTGGTTTTGTTTTTGAGATGGAGTCTCACTCTGTTGCCCAGGCTAGAGTGCAATGGCACGATCTTGGCTCACTGCACCATTTGCCTCCTGGGTTCAAGTGATTCTCCTGCCTCAGCCTCGTGGGTAGCTGGGATTATAGGCACCCGCCACCGAGACCAGCTAATTTTTGTATTTTTTAGCAGAGATGGGGTTCCACCATGTCAGCTAGGCTGGCCTCAAATTCCTGACCTCATGATCCACCCACCTCGGCCTCACAAAGTGCTGAGATTACAGGCATGAGTCACTGCTCCCGGCGACCAGCCAAGACTTTTACTTTATAAAGATATTTATGATGTTTTCTTTTCTTTTTACAGTACGCATTGCATTTATAATTGGAGATACAAAAAAAGGTGACTGTTACTGTTTGACAGCAAGGCAGTAGTATTATCTTCATCAATATTTGCAACTTAATTCGCAGGAACCTGTAAGAGAAAGCCCAGACAAAACTTTAAGGCAAAGAAGTTACACTTGTAAAAAATGAGAGGACTATTTTTTTATAATAACAAATATTCCAGGTGAGGACTGGTCAGGATCTACCACTGCTCCATCTCACTTGATAAGTCTCATGCCTGCCAGGGTAAGAAGGAGCAGAGAGAAGGACAAATGCCAGTGAGTTTCCTCTCCCACTAAGGATCTGTTTGTCAAGTTTCCTACCATCAAGTGGAAGATGTACTAAAAATAAAATGTACCCTTGCAGATGCTAGCAGAGAGGCACAAAATAGAAAAGGAGGTAAGCCCATATATTGTGGAGAAAGAGATCCAACTTAAGATTCAAAATGCACCAGAAAGCTGTGTAAAGTTAATAAAATTACTCAAAATCTTGGAACATTTGTTTCCTCACCTGTAAAATGGGGATCATGTGCCTACTTCATAAGTTGTTTTGACAGTTAAATTCACAGAGATATTTAATAGAGCCTGCTATGGCAAGTGTTCACATTAACAAAGTAGTATCAAACTTCAAAATATGGGAAAGGTATTTTGAATAATGTCTATGAGGCCAAGGACAACATGCCCAGCTTCACAATCAATCCCAGCCACATTACACTGAGGAGATCTACAGGCAACTATATTTCTTCAACAAATTCCATTAGAGAGGAAGAGTGTGTAGTCTGAAAACATGACACAAATGTGACCAGTGTACAGTGACTTAGGTAGTCGGGGGTGGAATCCCTACATATTCTCTGAATTGCAGCTACACAGTGAGTTCCCAGGAAACAAATGGAATAGAAAAGGTGACACAAAATATACTACCATAAATGGGGTGAGCATAGCAGGTTCACAACCACAAATGTAAGCAGGAGACTCAAATCACCAGGAGCACCTAGATCTGTGAACAGCAGCTTGTGGTGGCATCAGGTTCAACTTTCTGAGACCACCGGTGTGGGCAGTGTCTTTGCAGGCACATACTCGGCAGCAGTGTATCTGAAGACAGATCTCAAGGCTCTTCTCTTCACTAATTATTAAGATGATAGATGATGGATACCCTCACGTTACAACATCCCCACTAACGCTGTGGACAAGTGAATTCAGAAACCCACACCTAAATACACAGTGAAGAGTAGGATGAGAATACTGCAGGATAGGTTAGGAATGCAGGCATTCGACCCCATAGAGTCTATTTAAAATAAGAGAAGGGCCCTAGTATTGTGCTGTGGTCCTCCTATATATAGTTCTTTATTTTTCCAATTTCATAAAGGCCATACAGTTTTTCTTCCTTTCTTCACAAATGTGCTGATGAACCCATGAGTAATTCATCCTGAAGGGGTTAATTCCTCATAAAGTACAGTAACGTGATTCAATTGCTATGATGAGGTTTTTCAGGATTTTTTTATAGTGTCCCATACTCACCGATCACAAGTGAAAATTATAAGAACATGTAATTTGAACAAAGTATTCTTTTCACATAGAGAAATACACAGGTTTATACAGATTAGATGCATCATCAAAGTTGGTAACATCTGGGAACAAAAGGAACTATCCTGAGGACATAAGGAACTTAGGGACGTCGATTATTAAGAGGCTACCTGCAAGTGGAACTTCTGGGTTTTCATTGTCTAGACAGAAAAATTTAACTCATAAGCCCCAGTATATTAAGGTACATCCCCAACGGCTGTGGGGGATCAACTTTCCATCCAAAGCAGAGATGTAAAACATGAATGACTTCAAATGCGGCTCAAGTGCTCTGCACCTTGAAAGTCATCCCCACAAAGCTGGAGCACCACCTGTTCCTGAGGGATGAGGTCACCAACTGCTTTTTTGAGACACTCGTCAGTCAGGACTCAGTTGAGATGAGGCTGGTGATTTCAACTGTAAAATATCTAAACCATCGTCTTTAGGTAGATTCTTATGCCTGGGAATTGTGGTTTTCTCCTCTGCTGTTAGCAGATCCTGAGTAACCCAAGAAATACCCGCTCTCACCCGTCAAGTTCTATATCACAAGAAAGGCGCTGCAGACGGTGACATTTTCACGAAGGAGCCACAGCCCGCATCACCCCCTGAAAGCTCTGAAGTTGCGCACGGGTGGGTCACGCAGCAGGTGGATGTCTCAGTTCCCATAGAGTTTAGCAGAGCAGGCGGCTCCCTGGGCTGGAAGAGGTGCGATGCTCTGGAAACCCCCCGCGGGTGTGTATGTGAGAGGACACCGAGATGTTCAGCGGGCTGTTCAGTGAGGACCAGACCCCTCCGATTTGAGCAAGGGAGGTGCACTTCGCAGGGTCACACCGTCCTCATCGCCCAGCCTAGACCTGCCCCTCAAGTCCTTCTGCGGACTCCCTTGGCGAGGGGGTGGCACAGAATCAGCATGTGGCATCGCTTAGGAAAGGACGAGTCCACACCGCCCTGTCCCTCCCTCCAGGGCTGCGCACCACGGGGTAGGACAGACAGCGCATGCTGGTTTTGTAGTTAGCAGGTCGGCGACCAATGGGCTGGAAACCGTTAAGACACCATAACTCCCAGCACTCCTAGCTAGGGACGCGCCTCCCTATCCTTCGCTTCCATACTACACACCGCCCCCAAACCCAGCGCATGCTGAGATTGTAGTCCGTTAGCCTCGCGACCAATGGGCTGGAAATACTGAAAGGACTATGACTCCCAGGATGCTTTGCGAGGTACCCGCCGTCCCGATCCTTCCTCTAGGGCTGCGCACCGCCCCCAAGCCCAACGCATACTGGGATTGTAGTCAGGTAGTCCTGGGACCAACTGACTGGAAACTGTTAAGAGACCATAACTGCCAGCACGCCTGGCTAAGGACGCACCTCCCTATCCTTCCCTTCAGTGCTACACACCGCCTCGAAGCCCGGTGGCTGCTGGGATTGTAGTCTGCAGGCCGGGGGCCATCGCTGGAAACCGTTAAGAGACCATAACTCCCAGCATCCCTGGCCAGGGACGCGCCTCTCTATCCTTCCCTCCAGCGTTACACACCGCCCCAATCCCGGTGCATGCTGGCATTGTAGTTCGGTAGCCTTGCGATCAACGTGCTGGAAACTGTTTAAGGACTATGACTCCCAGGACGCCTTGCGAGGGACCCACCCTGTTGACCCTTCCTCCAGGGCTGGGAACCTCCCTTAAGCCCAGCGCATGCTGGGATCATAGTCCGACTGCCGCGACAGAAAGGCTGGGAGTGGATCTGAGACTACAGTTCCAACACTACGGGGAAAATTTCATCTTCTCTGAGACTACAGTTCCAACACTGAGGGGATAATTTCATCTTCTCCTCCGCCCCTCCATGTTTCCAGTGCAATTCCGCCCTGCTGAGGGGAGCCTATCTGTTCCCAAACTTCTGCGTGCGAGGAGACAGCGTGGCCAGGGCAGGTGGTCTCACTTGTAATTGTGGCACAGTCTCCCCACGTGCCAGTTGTACGACTATTTGTGCCTGAAGTTTGATTTCTCTCTGACAAGACAGAGCCCGGGAGCCTCCAACAGCCTGCCCAGCGTTGCTGTAACGCTTGCTTTCGGGGAGCTGGGCGCGCCCAGACCTTTGCAGGGCCCCTCCCTCAGCCCCGACCCTTCTCCTCGCCCCTCCCCTGCCACGCCCCTTTCGACATGCTGGAAAGTCATCTACCTTTAATAACAGTCATCTTTGCAAAAAAAAAAAAAAAAAAAACTCTGAGAATAACCTATCTCCCATTCTATTTAGTATTTATTTCCATAGTATCCATAAATAGTAGCAATTAGATATCACAGCAAGTCAAGCAAAAGCCCTGCCTTGCCTGTTTCATAAACCACGATATGGCCTTGCTGTGGTTTTATTTGTATTTTGTTTTGTATTTATTGACCTTTTGGATATAAATATTTAGGTATTTGGACAGTTTTTGGAAGTATTCCGCTATTAGTTGTTGATTTACTTCTGTTCCCTATTTAATTATTTTTTGTCTCTCCCTTCTCCTTAGACTCAGTCATTCCACAGGTCTCGAGAGTTCTGTTCATTTCCTTTAAACTTTTTGTACTTTTTTTTTCCAGACTGGATAATTTCTATTGCTGTGTCTTCTGTTTTAAATCTATGGCTAAACTCAAAAGATTTTTTTCATTTCCTTATCTATAATTTTTTTATATATATGTTCATTTCTCTGCTGAAGTTCCACATCTGTTTGTTTATGAATAGAATATTTTCTTTTTTCCCCATGAACATATTCATAAAAACTGCCTTCAAATTCTTGTCTGCTGATTGCAACATCCTGGGATAGCTTCTACTGCCTGCTTTTGATATTGTGTATGGATGACATTTTCACGTTTCTTTACAAGTCTTATGAATTTTAAAATTGTGCACTAGAAACTATAAATGATAATTATAGAATAGAAACTCTGGATTTTGCTGTTTTACCTTGAAGACTTTTGTTTTATAAACAGGGTTCATTGGGCTAGTGTCAAACCAATGCTTATGTCCGCTACAGTGGGTATAGCTGAAATCTTCATTCAGTTGTTAAACACACATATCATATATGTATTATGCATAGGCGTTTTTCTATAATAATATATTTTATTCAAGTTTCATCATTGTTATTTGTGAGAGTTCAACAAGCTAGTCCACACTTAGTGGAAGTCAGAACCTCAGTTTTATTTGATTGTAGCATTTTATATAAACAAAATTATATAGTATGTATACTTGTACATCTGTTTTCTTTATTTCCTTTTCTGTTTTCTTTCTTTCTTTCCTTTTCTGTCTTCTTTCTTTCTCTCTTTCTTTCCTTCTTTCTTTCTCTCTTCTTTTTTCTTTCTTTCTTTTCCCCAGGTTGGTGTGCAGTGGCATGATCTCACTGCAACCTCTGCCTACCAGGCTTAAGATATCCTTCCACTTCAGCCTTTTGAGTCACTGGGACCGCAGCCTTGCACCACCATGCCCGGCTAATTGTTTTGTATTTTTGGTAGAGACAGGGTTTCACTATGTTGCCCAAACTGGCATGTCTGCTTTCTTTTATGCAACATTACATTTGTGATATTCACCCACCAGTTGCAAATAGCTATAGTCTGTTCATTTTAGAAAGTAGTTTTTACCTTTTAGTAAAATATAAAAATACATGAAATTAACCATTTTATTATTTTTTTTGTGTGCAGTTTAAAGAAATTAAATACATTCACATTGTTTTGCAACCATTGTCCAAGTTCATAAGGAACTGTTTTTCAATCTTTTAAAAGTGAAACTCTGTACCCAGTAAACAACACTCCCCTTCCATTGCCCTTTGTGTAGTCCCTGGAAACTACTCTTCTACTTCGTGTTTCTATGAACTTAACTGCTGTAAATATCTCATATGAGTGGAAAGAGACAATATAGCAAAAAAATCATGAGGAAGAATAATATATACTATATAACATATGTTTATCCATTTTAAGAAAAATGCTAGCAGAGATCAGGTCATGGTGTTTATAGAGAAAGGTAGGTAACAGTGAAAAAGGGATTGGTTGCATTAAATTTACGACGTGATGCCTCAAGTGCCAGAGTAGTGAGCTTTCTGCCCCACTCGCAGGGCTGGTCAATGGTGTGGCTGGAACCCTACTTGAGCTGCCTGACTGCCAGAGCCCATGCTTAGTACAAACTTCAATGAGCCATGAAAGCAATTCCAACAACAGGCACTTAATGGCTCTGAGATTTTATCACAGCCTGTTCTTCATGGCTAGCAACTTCAGAGAAGAGTGACAGCTGTGAGGTTCCAGAAGCCACACCTCAGGTCCCCCAGTTCCTCCCCAGCAGCTGGAGTCCAGGTGCAACAGGACCTGATGCCGGCCAGGGAACCATGGCCACACGCTGTGTGAGGCTGGCGGCAAGACAGTCTCCCCTCCTACCCTCTGCTCATCTGCTAGGTCTTTGCCTTTTATTCTGATTGTGCTGCTCCAGGCTTGGAACAAAGCCCGAAATTCCTCTTGAGTCTGAAGATGATGATGGTTTCCAGCTGTGTGGAACTGCTGCATCTCCTGGAGGACTTTAATCTTCTGGAAACAGAGGGAAAGACAGGATGCTGACAGGGCCTGGGTGAAAGACTCTGTAGGGGCCTTATAAAAGAAGGGAGGAGGGCTGGTCTCTGAGGTGTTTCTTTTAAGGGGCTCTCACCTCCCCTCCAATATCATGCAGCCCTAACTGGTTCTCAGAGTTGAATGTAAACGGCCCTTCCTCTAGGAAGTTGTCATCAACTTCACTCCCCTGATTGCACCCTGCATTAGGATAGGTCTCCTCCTTCTCTGTGTATTACTCCCTTTCAATAAATCTTAGATGCGGAAGAAGGGACCAGGGAATGTCCTGCCCAGGGTGATTTCTCATTTCCACCTCCACCCTCCCTCAAAGTGAGGACTTCAGCTACTGCTCACCTTTCTGTTTTTCTGGGTTTTGATCACATTTCTCTGGAAGACAGAAAGCCAAAGACCATCAGAAAGGTCCGCTGGTCCATAACTAGCCTCCATTTCCAGCGATTTCCAAGCTTCACCACTACCAGAGCCACCAGGGTCAGGGAATGTGCACAAAAGAGGTCTTGCAGCTCTGCAGCTTCACTACTCAGGGAGTGGGACTGATGGCTGCTGTGGAGCCTCCATCACTCATGAGTAAAATACCCTGTTTACGGGATGGGGAGGGCTGCGAGGCCCTCGCAAAAAATTTTGGCAAGGACTGAGATCTAGGAGCTCAGTTCAAGACTCTCTTCTCCCAGGCCTCAGGATCCTGGTCCCTGACCTGTCTTCTCCAGGCTCACTCACATCCACACACTCCTTCATGGCAATGTCCAGCATCACCACATCAGTGAGGAATGTCCCCAGAGAGGGCATGACTTGGGAGGTGCCCACCCAAGTCCTGTCCGCTGAACTCTTATAAACCCCTGCCTCCTGGCGCCCTCTACCTAGGTTACCCACTTGGAGTAGCTGAGAACCCTCAGCTGCCTTTTCCCAATTCTCTATGTCTTCCCATTAGCTGGCCTCTATTGCCACCAACCTCACCATAATTACCTCCTTGGTGGGATTTTAACAAGCCACAAGGTCATGTGGTCCCTGGCTCCACCTGTTTTAAAAGCCACACGGAGCCCAGCTCTCCCAGGCCTTGCTCTGGTCTGTCTAATGAAGGTGTTTTAGGCACTGCAGCCCCAGGAGAAAAGGGCTGGAGTAGAAAGGCCCTCTGCTTTTTTGATTTGGAGGTTTCCAGCTGGGAGAAGTAAGCTCTGTTCTCTGAAACCCTGGAGCCCTTCCCCATCACAGACACATTCACCTTCTGCTGTCACAGCCTCATCTAAGCTCTCTGAGGCTCCGCTACAGGGTAGACAACTTGTACGGTGTTCACCTGCTAGGATGAGGGACAAGGTCAGTGAAAATATGCTTCTTTCAGTTACGCCTCAGCCACACTAACCTTGGACACGGATAAGTGGCCTGAGTCAGCTTGTCCAATGCTCTGACCATCTCCAGTAAGCTCTGACTCTAGACTCACTCCCAGGTCCAACACTCCCTGGATGTGTCATTTTGGGCATGCAGTCGGGTTTCCCTGAGCTGTTTCCTCAACTGGAAAGTGTGGTGGGAACCAACCACCTCACAAGGCCTCTTACCACCTCGGTTTCATGTGGTTGTCATGATTGCTGTCACCATCTTCCCTCTCAGGATGAGCCAGACACAAGCACCCTCAGATTCTCTGTCTCCCTGAGCCCCATCACCACCTTGTGAGGCCTGCCCAACAGGCTCATCATTCCTACATTTTCCACATAAGAAAACAGAGGCCCAAAGCGGCAATGACATGCCAAGGACCCCACAAGAGAGGCCAGCTCCTCCCTCAACCTAGAGGGACTGTCCCGGCTGCCTTCACCTAACACCCTAGCATCATCACTGACCAGCATTCCATCTTCTAAACTCTATGAGTGACAATATTCCCAGCCAGGCCCTGTGGCAGTGGACATGGTTCTGAGAATTGGGAATCTAATGTGGAGGAAAAGTTAAATATTTAATATGAACTCAATTGAACATGGGCACAAACAATGGTCACGAAGTCCTGGAACAGGTTGCATGAACCCCTTGAGGTGTTCATCCAGCGCTGTTTCAGAGAAATCTTTCAATCCATTCCTATACATTAGTTATTGAAAAAACAACAGACAATTGCAAAAACAAGTTGATCTTTTGTGTTCCTTGAGCCCAGTTGTGAAGGGCACCTGTGACTGCGCCTCATGCCAAACAACACATTACAAAAAGAGCTAGGGTCCCAGACTGTGCTGAAGTTTCATGAGACCTCTCCTCATCTGTGCATGGACACGTGGCTGACTCTGGAGCCCAGGCTGTTGCTTCCCAGTCTGGTAATGAATCCTCCATAGTCTGGTGCGTGTAAATATACATATACATATATGTATATTTATATACATGTATATGTATATAAATATACATATATATATTTTCTTTCTGTCCTTCCCATTGCAATTTGCTTATTATATTATTTGCTTATCAAGTCTGTATTGCCATACACTTGGGATAAAGGCTATTTATCCTTAAAACTATTGTGGGTGCCTTTTCTTTTCCCCTCGTTCATTTCCCGCACCGGAGCCCAGGTGATGGAATCTCGAAGTGACCTCACTTCCTTAGTTACAAACTCAAAGAAAGTTTAGAACTCTGGTAACCTGGAGCCCTAATTCTAGAGACAGCTTTGTATTTACTAAGGAGACTCTGAAGACAGCAAGATGTTCTCCTGCTATGTCTTGAATTTCTGAGGCTCTCATCTCAGGAAGGCTTGAACAGAGAGACTTTTTTTTATGATGGAGACAGTGCTCATTCTGCACTGCTGGCTCTTCTGGCCATTTGGAAAGGGTTACCCATAGATAACACAAGGCCACCCATGGCAGGCCTATCCAGGCCAGGCCTCACCTTTGATATCATCTCGGCAGGCACACACCCCTCCTCATCTCCACGTCTCGTGGGAAAGAAAGAGATAATGGGTCCTTTCTTGGCAGGAGCAGGTTTCCAGGTATTGGGAGGCTAAAAGCCTGTCAAATTTATACCGCAGGTTACAGTTGGCAGGAGGGGAAGGTGAGTGCTGGGGGTCACCTTTGTTTGTTCAGACATTTATTCTAAGGCTTCAAGCTGTCCTCTTGTTTTCTCCCTGGCTGGAGGTCTGCGCAAATGCTCCTATGTGCCTGATCTGGGGAGTAGACTTTCTAACTGGAATTTCCCCTGTGGGGAAAGCCAGGATGCCATTGATGCCTCTTGGCCAGGCTTCCAGGCACTCTCTTTGCAGAACTCTATTGAGGAGATCCCTGAGGAGCTGTTTGATGAGTCCAACTACTCCATCTCATTGAACAAAAGGCAGGTGCATCATGCCAACAACCATGGCCCGTGCTAGTCTGGAGTCAAGGTGGGCACAGAGAGGTCTCCAAATGGAAAAGACCAGGGAAGCCCAGGACCCTGACCCAAATGTGAGGATTCCCCAGAAACCGTTTTAGGGCTTTCTCCATTAAGGACCCACAGTTCCTTCCCAGAGGAATTTGGCCTCCATTAGTCCATAATGGCAACTTAGGTGCACAGTCCCTGGTCATATGCTTGCAGGAATGTCAAAAGAAACACTTTTGTGTTGTTATTACTTTACATTAAGTTGTGAGTATCTTTGCATTTTGCTATTATTTTTATTGTTATATCTACCTACCCCACATACTTCCTGGAGCAGGCAGCTTCGCTGCCTTGCCAGACCTTCTCTAAGTCTTAGAAGTTCACACTGTTACTAGAGAGAGGTTTCACCCAAAAAGTGGGAGTTATGCAAAAGGGTCTTATATGACTCTTTACATATGTGTCCCAGAGCCCACCTCTATAGCCCCATCAGGACAGGAGCTGTGTCCTCATATGTCTTTATAAGATTCCATAAGTGGGGCCTTTCCCTCAGTAATTTAGGCTTTTAATACTGGTGGAGCCTGACATAATAAATTCTATTTCCACTTCAGCCATGCTACAGGGAATATCTTTTTTTTTTTTTTTTTTTTTTTGAGACGGAGTCTCGCTCTGTCGCCCAGGTGGGAGTGCAGTGGTGCAGTCTCGGCTCACTGCACTCTGCCTCCTGGGTTCACGCCATCTTCCTGCTTCAGCCTCCTGAGTAGCTGGGACTACAGGCGCCTGTCACCACGCCCGGCTAATTTTTTTTCTCTGTGTGTGTGTGGTTTTTTTTTTAGTAGAGACAGAGTTTCACCGTGTTAGCTAGGATGGTCTCGATC